>NC_000005.10:162124960-162427990 GCF_000001405.40 Homo sapiens | reverse complement strand
ACTCATTCAGTAGATGATTAATTGAGTAAATAAATAAATACATATATAGATGGGGTAAATATCTACATGACAGCTATTAAAGATAATGTATCTAGGAATTTGGAAATGCTCAAATACACATTCACCACCTATTTATAATAATAAAATAAATTACTGACTTTTTCATTTAGGGCATATTATTAAACAAATGGAAGTCAGAGTAAATTAAAGCAGTTTTTTTTTAGTTAAGTAGTTTCTTTCTTGATTTTTATTTTATTTTTTACATTGGCACATAAAATTGTATGCATTTACCATGTACAACATGATGTTTTGAAGTATATATACATTGTGGAATGACTAAATCTAGCTAATTAACATATGTATTACCTCACATAGTTAATATCTTTCTGAGAAGAACACTTTACATTCCATTTAACGAATAAAATAGTGATTTAACTGTATCAGTCACTTCATAAAAAGGTACTTTCATAATTTTAGGTTATTCCTATTACTATCTTTTATACATATCCATTAAGGAAACACTAATTTTACAACTATTGTCTTCTAGGATTTGTGCTAGACTTTGGAGATATGAAGATGATTGAATCAAGGTCTTTATCTTTAACTGAGATGTTCATAATAATATCACAGAAAAGAAGACATATAAAGATCGTATACAAATAAATACAATACAATGTGGTAAAAGGTATGTACAATTAGAGTACTATTATAACGTATTGACACATGCTGCCAATTATGCCATAAATAATCAGAAAAGTCATACCCATGCATGCTACATTTAAGAAGGAACTTAAAATATGAGTCAGAGTTTGGTGGATTAAGTAGGAGGTGGGTAGAGAAAACAATACATGCAAAACCAAGATGGCCATAAAGAAAATGTTATGGGAAGCTAAATGATAGTGTACCCTGAGTTCATCCAAGATATTGAGTAAGGCTAATTTAAGTTTACAGCTGCACTAGGAAGAGCTTTATACAAGATACAAAGAAGTTTGGGTAACTTTCTCAATCTCTCAGAAAGAAGTTTAGGAGATAGAGCTATGTTTTCACACATCAGGAAGACTAAGGATGAATTGATTAGGGAGAGGCTACTGGGGAACAGTTAAGAAAATACTGCCTTTAATTCAGATAGATATTATATTATAAGGAACTGAATTAGGTTTGTAGCAGAGATAATAGGAAAGAGGAAATAAAATAAATTTGTTCATTTAGGAGGTAGTATTGATAAGATTTATTGATTAATAAGAACGTGGATTGCAGCATAATAAACAGTAAAGACCCAAGATGAGCATACTTTCTGTAAAGGGTCAAATGGTAAATATTTTAGGCTTTATGGACTTTCTGTTGCATCTACACACCTCTGCCATTGTAACACCAAAGAAGTCATAGACAGCAAGTACAGAAATGAATGTGGCTGCGTTCTAATACAAACTTCCAAAAAAAAAAAAAAGACAGCAAGCTGGATTTAACTTGTAGGAGTGCTTGCAGACTCCTGGTCTAAACCATGTTTCAGGTTTTGATCTTCAGTAATTTACTGGACAATAATTATTGACTTATGAATTTCATTGATTTACTAGTCTTGTGGATATTTGTGTAGAATTCTTGAGGTTCAAAATTTCAAGATTCAAAGAAGAGAATTTTGGATAACATCCTTTTCTGGATCCCTAATGTGGTTAATTTTGTACATTATGTGCATGTGCCCTGACAATTAATCTTATGAAAATAAATCTATTTCTATTTTTATTATCTATAAGTAGTACTTTAAAAGCAGATAAGTAATATTTATGTGCCTTAATAAAATTAAGAAATTTGCAATTAAAGAGATGTACTATGAAGCACAACACATTTACAGTTATTTATATCTTCCTGAAAGTGGGCTCCAAGGGCATTACTTTCACACAGATCATCTAGCAATATATTAAGAAAAATGTATACAACTATGAATGTCATATAGTTCCAGAGACCCAAACACATGGTATCTACATAGTCAATTAATTTTTAAATGGCCCACCTTGGTCCATAAATTACTAGAAAAATCTTGTGAAGGAGAAAGATTTTGCAAGATCACTATTTCAAATAAATTTAAAATCTCTCTCTTCCAAAGTATAAAGAACAAAGACTCAGAAAAGAGATGTCTATTCTGGTTCTTCTGAAACAGTTAGAATTGAAATTTCTGTCAGAGTCTCATATAGTTTAATTTTTATCTTAAGTCTAAGAAAAATAAAGAGGCCATTATAAGCATTAGCCATCTTTACTTTTCTCTCAATAAAGCAACAGATGATATCACATTCAAACTGAATTCATGTTAAAGGCAAACCAATAAGCTACTGATCTTATTTTGTACCTCAAAAATTAACAGAGATTAATACCTGCATATTACACTGAGGTGCATTTTTTCACATGGTATATTTTTTCTGCTTAACTAAATGAAAAGTTGTAGGTTTTAGCAAGAGCCAGTGCTAGATTCTATACCCATTAGCTCAATTGAGTAGAACCTAGTGCGATGGTTCAGTACCTAGGGCTTTACTCAGCTGTAGAGTCATTTTCTATTTCACTGCTCTTAGCAATTTATTGCACCAACAAATGAACCTTGTTCTCAATCTGAGATGCCACAGCAAGCACCTGTATTACCTTTTAGTAAAAGCCAAATTTGTAATAGTGTCTCTATGACAAGGTTGGTACCAATTTTTTTATATATACAAAGTCTCTCTTTTTTTTTTTTTTTTTTTTACTTCCATAGGGATTTTACAAAAGTCTCTGTGTTTATGAGCTTTAAGGTGTCTAACACAGGTTCTGGCACCTAATATGTGCTCAATAAATAGTTTTGGAATAAATGAATGAATGAATAAAATTGTCATCTTTCTTTTTTTTCCATTTTATGATCAGTTATCATATATTTTAGTTTGTAGATGTAGATACCCCAATCACGGATCTTCTTTACTTTGGGTGCTTAATTAGAGTCCTCAACTATGGTTTAAACTCTTGTAGATTTCAATCTAAACTATTTATTATTGATAGTTTTGTGCACCATTGTTCTTTTTTTCCCTTTCTTGTAGATCTCAGCCTCCATAACTTTAAAAATGGTATAAATTATATCGTTTAAAAATTGCAAGAAGAAAACTGTTGCAAACATTTGCAGTCACATGACCTGAAAGGACCTTTGAAGATACAACTTTTGGAATCTTAGTCTCCATTTTGAATATATACTTTTGCTGTTATAACCAGTAGAAGAGAATTTCCAGCAACTTATACGTTATTATTTTTCCAGGTGACTGAGCATTGAAAGAACTTTACTCATAAATGGGTTGTCAACACTAGCATGGAGTGTCTTAGGCAGCAGTAAGTTCACCATTCTTGGGTATTTAAAAAGAAGATGGATGAACATCTGAAAGGAATCCCGTAATGAGGTTTTGGCATTGCTCAACAGATTAACTTTTAACACTCTTCCATCTTTGATCTTTTTTACATTCCAACTTCAACGTAAAACTTTCTTGAAGCCAAGAAGTATTAATTTTAAAATGGAAAAAACACCATATTTATTTGTGTTACTTATTTATATCACATGAATATACTTTCAGATATGTGGATATTCAATACTGTCTACAGTTTGTAACATAGTAAAGAGGTGTCATTTTTAATAAGTCAAATGTTTTGCTTAAAAGTATATGTAATTTTTTCTATGAAATGTTGGTAAAATGTTGATCTCACAATAGATTTAATATTTTAATGTCAGGTTTCAAATGAATTTGATTTTTAAGAAATATATTTTCACCTTTACTTTAATATAGTTATTTTCTTCTTTTATGTAATTAGAAGTAGAACTATCCAAGAACATTTAAAATTAAATTAGGGAGTTTTTCAACTTGACTGTTAAATATTACTGCTACCTCTCCACTGTACTTAGACCTGCACCTTGTGTTAAGAAAAACATTTTAACAAATTTAAAAAATAAAGAAGTGATCTTGTCGACTTCACCATACATCTTTATGTTTTATGATATATGAGTACAGGAACCACTCATTTTTTTTTCAATGAAGCATTAATTTTCAATGAAATCTCTAAGAGCAAATGGCTATTACGGTCATTAAGAAAAGAAATATACAGAAGGGGAACATCACACACCAGGGCCTGTTGTGGGGTTGGGGGAGGGGGGAGGGATAGCATTAGGAGATATACCTAATGTTAAATGACGAGTTAATGGGTGCAGCACACCAACATGGCACATGTATACATATGTAACTAACCTGCACGTTGTGCACATGTACCCTAAAACTTAAAAGTATAATAAAAAAAATTTAAAAAAATAAAAAATAAAAAAAAGAAGAGAAATATAGGAAAACCAATATAAATTTAACTTTTTCTGGAGTAAAGCTCTTAGACTGTTATTTTAAGATTTAGGCTTTTTTTTTTATTCTGACCTATTGGATTTAGTATGTCAATACTCTATTGCTTCTTTATTATCATTTCCACATTGGAAACAGGCTGTGTAAAGAAAACATGAGCCATATTTTAATTAGTAAATATTACTAAATCTTTCTCTTCCTACTATCTCAAAAAAGGTATTTCAGCCAAGTGACAATACATCAATATATAATCCTGTATCTCACATTTCACATATAGCTTGATATTGTTTTTACAGTCTCCACCTTTGGCCGCAAAGGAGGAGCATTGCCTACCTACTGAAGAGTCAGAGTCTAGAGATGTTTCTGTCATCTTGACTTCAGAATATCAGTGTCCTTAATATTCAGTGGAGTGCTTAACAATTACCAGGTGCTATTCTAGGCACTGAGGACACAGCAATAAACAACCCTGACCAGATTCTCTGCTCCTTGTAGTTTATATTATAGTGTGGGGTTGGGGGCGGGAGGTAGCATTGATGGCAGCAAACAGATAATAAACACACACACAATCAATCATATTGACACAGATACAGCTTAAGTAGCTATAATTACTTAAAGTTTGATAAGAAAGTGGTGGAGTGGGGGGATCTTTGATCTAAGGCAGGGTAATCAAAAAAGATTTCTCTGCAAAGAAAATGTATATGGAGATCTTGTGGTAGATTGAGTTATTGGCTGGCACAGTTCTTTACCCCTCTATGTATCCACATCCTTTTTCATATAACGGTGCTGTTTCTACCACAAGGGAGGGGTATACCACCCTGCTTTTTGACTTTGGGCTCAGTGATATGACTTGCTTTGGACAATGGAATGTTTGCAGAGGTGGAGAAAACAAAGTCTTGAAACTTACTTGTGCAGAGCGGTATATCGATTTGTGCCTCTATCATCTGCAGAAGAAGCACTCCTTATGAGAAGTTGTAGCCCCTTACCAGGAGCCAGAAAATACAAATACAGGAACTCAACTCACAGTAAGAATCCCAGTCCTTCAGGATCGCAGCTTGGAACACAGACCCCCAGTTAAGCCCAGTCTAGCTTATCAGTCCATCAGCTAATACATACAATTATGAATAAGAATAAAATAATGTTGTTTAAGCCTCTGAGTAGTTTGTTATCCACCATATATTTTTGTATCGATCTGAAGGAAATGAGAGAGAAGCTTGCAGATATTTAGTGAGTAATGCTCCAGGCAGAATTAGCAGCAACAGCAAACATCCTAAGGAGCATGTGTTGTGTTCTTCTAGCAAGAGGATTGTGGCTATAGTAAAGTGAGCAGCGGGTTATTATTATTGTTGTTTTGGCCATTATTATGGTTGTCAATGTCCTCCAGTCAAATATAGTCAAGAACACACCTGAATAGGTTGGGTCTGTTATTCATTGCATGAAGAGCAAATACACACCATGGGGAACCATGGAGAACCATGGAGTATTTCAGTAAGAGGGTGTTTAAATGAAACTATTGAAGGATTTGGGCTTTGGTTGGGTTACTGGGGGAAAGTCTAAAGAAGTGGGGTTCCCTCTAGATTGCATGCATCTAGAAAGTGAGGGCAATTCTGTGGTTGGCTATCTCAATAAATATTATCTATAACAATAGGAGATTAGAATAAAAGCACAATTCCAATGATTAAAGAAGTAGCAGTCATTTATTTATCTGTGGGTTCCACATGGACATAGTTTTTGACTGTGCTTAGACAAAATTATAAAATGGATTTATTTTATCTAAACTTGTCACAACCTCAGAGTGATCTCATCTGAGGTTGTTATTCTGTGAGATGGCTTGTGTCTATCAAGAGAATAACATGGTCTAACATGAGTCTCAGATCGATTTCTGAATGTCTGTAGATGGTCATTTTTCTCTCCTTCAAGTCATTGTCGTGATCAGGGATAGCCTCGGGATCTCAACTCCAGTCACATAGGACACTTTTCCATAACATTTTTTAATACAGCAATAGTTGTCTACTACCCCCATGGTTAAATACAAAGGGATCTAGCAGTTACACACATACACACACACACACACATACACACAAGCTATAAGATGGCCTTATCAGTTTTATAGTTATTTAAAATATCCATGTATCAAAGAAAGAACATAGCTGACAACAAAAGTTATATTTCATTGTGTTCTGTAAACTTTCACTAAAATCAAGGTGTAGGCAATCTACTCTGTTCCAGGTACTGAATATTTAGTGAGTAAAATCAGTCCCCCGCCCTTATGGGATCCAGAATCTGTGTATACATGTAAGCAAATTATTTACTACCCTGTAAATGCAAAACAAGTATCAATGTTGTTTCAAAGTAAATCAATTTACAAAGAACATGATACATAGAAATCATGCATCACTACCATTTTTAAAAATTTGTTATTAAAAGAGCATCAAATATGGATTGACTAAGCAATGTAAACCAAAAATTAGTCAGACAAATAACAGTAAAAATCAATTTTCCAGTATCACAGTAGTCAGTAGCTATGGAAAAAACATACAGTCCAAAATACAGTCTGATTTTTAAATTAAACTGAATGATCAGAATCAAGCCTATAGGTGGAAATACATGGGCTGTTTTGTTAAAGTGCTAATTGAAATCTGACTGTTTCTTTCTGAGTAGCCATCCAATTGTTCCCTTTAACTCTTATAAATTTAGAGAACACAATGTTCTTCCAGTCACAAAAGTATTCTTATGCAAAATTCATCAATTTGGATTTTATTGTGCCCCAATTTTAGTTAGCTGCAACAAAACTAATAAAAGCTAGGACTTATTAAATGATTTATAATAACAACAATATCAGTGTGTTGGGTAAATGCAATTTCCAGGAGCTAAAACACTAGATTGCTTCAGATTTCAAAGACAATTATCTGTTTAAAAACCACTAGCTTCCCTCTTCAGCTTCATCCAGTAAACAATACATTTCAATAACATACCCTCTTCTCTATAGAAAGGCAATATAAATATTGCTCCAATTTATATTTATTTCCACTAAGAAGTGAAAGACTTAATCAGATGGGCTGTGATAGGAATAATAATTAGGACTCAGCTTTTAAATAATTTGCTTTGGAAAACTATATGTCATCAGAAAATGGAAAGTAAATTTCTATGTATTTTCTACTTGCCAGCTTGACTATATGATAGAGATAGTATTATCAAAGTTTAGAAAAAGGCATAAAGTAAGATATTCCCCTGCTTTGTTGTAAGTCTATGAAGACATGCTAAAATCCAATGGCTGGAAGCTTCTTTAAACGATTCATTAAGCCTAGAGGTCAAAAAAAGGAGTCTGTGGACTGGGCCCATGCTATTTGACCTTCCCCCATCTCCCTCTCTCCTGTTCTTCCTTCCTTCCTTCAATAACTGTCAAACATTTCAAATTAACCTTTTGACACAAAACTCTAGATTCTTGGCTACTCTTGAAGAATGGAAATGTCTCTTGCACCTGGACTGTGTTTCTGCATGGCTGCTGTCAGCAAAGGTAGACTGGGAGCAGGTTTTTCTAGGCTTGATATCTTTGCTCATTTATGTTCCTGCCTGATTTCTTCTGGCTTGCAGTTTGTGATGTCTGATTAAGTCTAACACCTTGCCTCCGACAACTAAATTATTCAAGAGAGATACATGGTTCCTTCACCTTCCCCACCATCCTTTCCTCGGAGTCTTGAAGTTCCACATACTATGTAGAATATATCTTTCTTTTGTTAATTTCAGTACATTTTCTCCAAATATGATTAATATGACTATGGATAATAACATGTAAGTCATAATATCCTTTCTGAGTTAAAGACAGATGATCAATCACATAATTCCTTTGTAACGTTCCTGTGCTTCTTGTTCTCTTTCCTTTAAATGCAGGTAATGACTTCATTCTCTAATGGTTATGGAGTTTAGTAAAATAAAAGTGAGTAAGAAATTTATTCCCATTCATCTAAGAGAATCATTTATTTTAATTCCAACCCCTGAAAATGCAGCAAGGGAGTGCAGGGGAGTCATTATTCACATGGCAAAGTAAAAACCAGTGCCATAACATTTATATTCTGGCTGCTATGACTACCACTACTAAGGGCCCTGCAAATCAAAACAGGGTCAGAAAGTAGCAAGAGGGTTTCACGTCCACAGAAAAATTCAAGTGTTTAAAAAGTTCAAGAAAATGATCAAAATGATAATCATATCAGAATATGTGGTTAAACAATACTGGGGTTGCTTTCTTAATATTTTAATAACACGGATTCAATTGTTTCCCCTAATCCGAAGAGAACATTCCAAGACCCTCACTAGATGCCTGAAACCAAGGATGGTACCAAATCCTATATATATGTTTCTCAGACAAACCCACTTATAATAAAGTTTGAAGTGTGACAGCAAAACCAGCAGATTTTTTTTTCTTCTTCACAATTTCATGGATAAAGGATTTGTTCTATGAATCTTAGCAACCTCAGTATACATTTTTTCTTTCCCTATTAAGTCAAGAACTTTCACCTTTTCACTTAAAGGAAGCACTTTCTGGCTTCTCTTTGGCATATCCAAATTGCCAGCATCATTACTCTTGTCATTATTATACTCTTTGGAGCCATTACTAAGTAAAATAAAAGTTACTTGAAAGCAAGCTGTGATACAGTGACATTTGATCTGATAACCAAGAAGCTTCTTAAGTGACTAATAGGCAGGTAGTGTATACAGCATGAAGACTCTAGAGAAAGGGATGGTTCACATCCCAGGCGGAATGGAGTGGTGCAGTGTTGGATTTGATGCCCTAGTCAGAACGGCGTGCGATTTAAAACAAGAAAGTTAGGGATCCAGTCTCATTATTTTGCATATGGCTACCCAGTCATCCCCAAATAAATTATTGAATAGGGAGTCTTTTCTTCATTGCTTATTTTTGTCATACTTGTCAAAGATCAGATGACTGTAGGTGTGTGGCTTTATTTCTGGCTTTTCTATTCTGTTGCACTGGTACTCACATTATGCCGTATCCAAAAATCAACTCAAGATGGACTAAATATTTAAATGTAAGACCTCTAACTGTAAGAATCCTAGAAGAAAACCTAGGAAACACCATTCTGGACATCAGCCTTGGGAAAGAATTTATGACTAAGTCCTCAAAAGGAAATGCAACTAAAACAAAAATTGACAAGTGGGACCTAATTAAACTAAAGTGCTTCAGCATAACAAAAGAAACTATCACCAGAGTAAACAACCTATATAATGGGAGAAAATATTTACAGACTATGCATCCAGTAAAGGTCCACTATCCACAATCCACAACAAACTTAACTAAACAACCAAAAACAAATAACCCTATTAAAAAGCAGGCAAAGGACATGAACAAACACTTCTTCTCAAAACAATAAATGTGGCCAAGAAACATATGAAAAAATGTTCAAAATCACTACTCATCAGAGAAATGCAAATCAAAGCCACAATCAGATACCATCTCACACCAGTCAGAATGGCTATGATAAAAGGTCAAACATTAGCATATGCTGTGAGCTGTGGATGCAAGGGAATGCTTATACACCATTGGTGGGAGTGTAAGTTTGTTCAACAACTTTGTAAAGCAGTTTGGAGATTTCTCAAAAAACTTAGAACTGCCATTCAACCCAGCAATCCCATTACTGGATATATATCCAACATAATATAAACTATACCAAAAAGACACATGAACTCACATATGTATCACAGGACCATTCACAATAGCAAAGACATAGAATCAACCCAGATGCCCATCCACATTAGACTGGATAAAGAAAATGTGGTACATATACAGCATGAAATACTATGCAGCCAGTAAAAAGAGTGAATGCTTGTCCTTTGGAGCAACATGGATGCAGCTGGAGGCCATTATCCTAAGCAAATTAACACAGGAGCAGGGAACCTTACTGCATGTTCTCACTTATGGGTGGGAGCTAAACATTGAGTATGTATGTTGATTAAGATGGTAACAATAGAAACTTGGGACTACTAAAGCAGGAGGGTAGGAAGGGGACCAAGGGTTGAAAAACTAACTATTGGGTATTATGCTTACTACCTGGGTGACGGGATCAATCATACCCCAAACCTCAGTGTCATGAAATATACCCATGTAACAAACCTGCACATATACCCCCTTAATCTAAAATAAACTTTGAAAGGTATATTTTTAAAAATTAAAAAATAAGGTGTATTATACATTTCTGGAATTTTTCATTTAATATTTTTGAACCATAGTTGCTCAGAAGTAATTGAAACCATAGAACACAAAACCATAGGTAAGGGGGAACTAGTGTATAACATATTTATAATTCCTAAGTAAAATTTTAAAAGTAATGTGTTTCTGTGTGTAAAGAGTTACATTATTCTAAAATTCTTATTTTAGAATTAGTATTGTTCCAGCAATCACTGTCCCATGTTTTTGATCCCTAAAGAAAATTATTCAAACATTACATTTACTTTTGGGTGAGACAGTCCACAGCGTTTCTAAATAATATTTGCATATTGCTTTTCCATGGTTTATCCAGTTTAGCAATGCCTCTCCCGCTGTAGATTAGTATTTAAATCCTTTACTTGCCATCTCCATCTCCACCACACATAAATTAACTTCTATTTCTCCACTTTAATATTTCAGTTACATCATGAGTTTGTTTAGATCAACCATGCTAAATTTGTTAAAAATATTTATATTGTGCTTTTTATATGTTAAGTATTCTGTAAGAACTTTACAAATACTTATTCATTTAATCCTCAAAGCATTATTTCCTGATCTTGGAAGCAGGTATTATTTATTTATTTATTTATTTATTTATTTTTTGAGACAGAATCTCACACTGTTGCCCAGGCTGGAGTGCAGTGGCGTGATCTCCCTCACTGCAAGCTCCACCTCCCAGGTTCAAGCCCTTCTCCTGCCTCAGCCTCCTGAGTAGCTGGGACTACAGGTGCCTGCCACCACACCCAGCTAATTTTTTTTGCATTTTTTAGTAGAGACAGGGTTTCACTGTGTTAGCCAGTATGGTCTCCATCTCGTGATCCACCCGGAAGGCGGGTATTATTTTTATGCACGTTTTGTAGAAATAAAACTGAAGCAGACAGGAGGTAAGTAATTTGGTGAAGTTCTGTTAGTAACCTGTAGATTTGAAGTTCAGTCTCAAGAAATTTGGCTCCAAAACCTATGTTTTTAACTGCTATGTTATATTGTCTCTCAATTGTCAGTGTTTATATTATGATTTGATAACCAATAAACAGCTTGTCTCCATCAGACCATTTACTATATTAGAATTTTTTTGAATTTAATAATATATATTAGTTACAGTGCTTCTGTTTATGCTCTATTTTTCTATTTCTTTTTGTCTGCCTTTCATGTTAGATGCTTTCTTGATATGTCTGGTAATCCTGATTCATATTTAAGAGCAGGGACACCATAACATGCATTGAAATTTCTGCACGAATGTAAGATGTTTGTTAACTGTCATCTTTACTGTACAGTAGTTTGAATGGGTTCCTTAGAGAACCTCCAATGTCAATAGCTTTCTGGGTTACTTTTATGTATGTGTGTGGAGTAGGATGATAATCCTTGGCAAAGAGGCTTCCAATCTCCTGCGTAAGTGGCAGCATATCCCCCTCTAGGGACTCCCAGGCTTCTGCTGGAGAGTGGAAGAACTGACTCATTGTTGCATCAATATGGGCATGGGATTTGGCACTCAGATTTCTTCATAAACAGATTTTTTTTTTTTTTTTGAGAGGGAGTCTCGCGTGTCGCCAGTCTGGAGTGCACTAGTGCGATCTCAGCTCACCGTCACCTCCGCCTCCCAGGTTCAAGCAATTCTCCTGCCTCAGCCTCCCGAATAGCTGGGACTACAAGCATGCGCCACTATGCTGAGCTAATTTTTGTATTTTTACCATGTTGGTGAGGTTGGTCTCAATCTCTTGACCTCATGATCCACCTGCCTTGGCCTCCCAAAGTGCTGGGATTACAGGCTTGAACCACTGCACCCGGCCCATAAACAGAATTTTAAATAATCCTCTTGTTTATAAACCCCATTACCTGATGCACCCAATTAATACGCCATTTGAATCTTTTATGAAAGTAATCTCTGAATGACTTTCCCAATTCCAGCTTAAGATTCATTTTCTTAAACTACCACACAGTCACCAGTCGATTAATTTTTACCTTACTGTTTTCTCATATTCTAACACAGTTATTGAGGATATGTACCTTTGTGCACAGCCATGTTGTATCATTTTAGTAAAGTTTTAAGAAACAGAAAAGATAAATGGCATGTTCACTATGCCAAATTTAATCAGGAATCCTTTTTTTTTCTTCTCAGAAAGATTTGTGGGCAATGTCATGAAAATTTAATTTCAAGTATGGAGCTATATGCCATATAAAAACAATCACTGTTTGACTACAAAAATCATTCTATAAGTTCCACTTCTGAATTCCACTGGAAGAACACAGCTCAGCCTTTGCCATTTATGCATAAGAAACAGGTCACATTAACAAAGAAAGCACACTGTCTGTCAATCTGGCAAGTGGCCATTTCAAAAATAAATTGTACCGAATTTCTAAATAGCCACACGGTAAAGTATTTTGGGAGGATGTGTTAGCAGTGAGAGTCATCAATAAAACAAAAATATATTATGTATTTAATTGGTCAGCTTTTTCTAATTGAGTGTAATGTCACTGTAAAAATATGTAGAGAGAAGGCCCGGCACAGTGGCTCACGCCTGTAATCCCAGCACTTTGGGAGGCCGAGGCGGGCGGATCACGAGGTCAGGAGATCGAGACCACCCTGGCTAACATGGTGAAACCCCATCTGTACCAAAAATACAAAAAGTTAGCCAGGCGTGGTGGTGGGTGCCTGTAGTCCCAGCTACTGGGGAGGCTGAGGCAGGAGAATGGCGTGAACCTGAGGGGCGGAGCTTGCAGTGAGCCGAGATCGTGCCACTGCACTTCAGCCTGGGCAACAGAGGGAGACTCTGTCTCAAAAAGAAAAAAAGAAAGGAAAAGAAAAGAAAAAATATATATACATATATAGAGAGAGAGAGATAGAAAGGTCAGTAATTTGCTACTTGCTCAAGAATCATGTATGTCCAAAAGTATGACCTTTATTGTGTTTTGTATTTGATAAAAAATAGAGGGGGAGTTTCATGATTTCCAAAGAGATAAATCAAGATAAATCAAGCAGTGTTTTATTATCTTTATTTATTCTCTAACCTTTAGATTAGTTAACTTTGAATATACTTTGGCATGCTTGAAAATGGGGGGTTCTAATTTTTCCTTGTTCTGGTAAAAAAATTATCTTTGTGCCTTTTCCCTTACCTATTAATATGAAACACAGTTATTTAAGAGCATGGGTTGTGGTGGAATGAACATAGGATTTAGGTCCCCTCTACCACACATTGTATTATTCATGTATTGATCTCTTAAAGGCTTAGTGTTTTCATGTAGCAGTGGGTCACATAATTCTGTGATTTACATATGGACCGCGTATTTCTTTTCTCCTAGTCTTACGATGAGAGTTTAATTATACAGCCCATGTGCTTAACACAGTACTCAGAATATAGTAAATATGTAATAACTGTTTCACATTTATTATTGTCATTATCTAATTCAACTGGCTAATAAGCTGCCCTTAATTTAAATAATAAAAGACAACGTCTTGATTTGTCTTCTTTTGAAAAAATATATATTTTTTGGTATTACAATAGTAAATAATTTTACTCTTCACAAAAAAAATTACGTAGATAGGCTTGCATCTATCTCCCCGGTCCAGTTAATGTTTCAGAAGTGGTTAAATCAGGATCAAGCCTCTAGCAAACTATTCTTGAGCCCTGGGAAGAAAGATGAACTTTTCTGTAGCCAAATGTATTTAAATATTTGGTTTTGGTTATTATAATATAAATAATATAAATAATATTATATAAATAATATAAACTTAAGTGTCATCACTGAGAGTAAACATACAGTGCAAAGTTAATAGAAAATGTATAATACACCTCACACATTATTTTGACATTTAAAAACTACAACCCAGACAGTTAGCTCAGTTGGTTACAGCATTGTGATAATAAAAACTACACCCTTATTTATTTGTTAAGGCACAATGACCAACACCAAGATCACAACTTAACAATGAATACAGAGTTGCTTGAATATTTGGGACACAAATTATAACCAGCTGGCAGCGATGATCTATGGTATAGCCTGTTCTGTGATTTCTCACAGGCTTTTTACAGATAGGCTCAATTTTTTCACAGCCACATATATCTTAATATGACTTAATACTGGGAAGTTGCCTTAGTCCAAATTCCCAGAAGGAACCAAGCTCTGCCCTATATTTTGAACTATGTCTCTCACATTGAATTAACAACTGGACATGGACTCGAGAAAGAAAATCACTATTTGGTAGGGCCTAGTGAGAGACATTAACATGAAATACAAAAAGTGCTGGAGATGGATTATATTTTCCCACCTATGTGAAACCTTGAGAAAGTTATGTCATATTCCTAAGCCTCAGATGTCTTCATCTGTAAATCAAAAAAAAAAAAAAGTTGGCCTGCCACATCGAGCTATTATGGGGATAAAAAGATATGATGAACTAGGGCTAAAGTAATATCAACCCCTACACATCACTCAGCTAATCTTTACATTTTCTTCACCAGATATGCATTATCTAGACAAGGCCTACTGGGACGAGTGAACATACGTATGCTCATCTCTATCTTCTCCACAGGGATGCCAAATCTTTAAAAAATGGCATGGGAAGTCTTTCTTCTAAATCGCATCTAATCATCAGTCACTCCAACCATTCATCTATCCACCCATCCATGCATCTATCCATCAATTATTTGTCTATAGATATCTATTTAGCATGAAATTTATACTATAAATATCCTAGGTTCTTCCATAGAAAAATAAATAACAATATTAACAATAGCATTTTTATTATATTTTCAGTATTCTCAGAACCTGTGCTGAGTATTTTATATGAATTTTTCATTTAACTTTCACTATGTTCCAATGAGGTACATATTATTATCTTTCTTCATTTTATAACTGCAAGACTTAATCCTTCCCAGAAAGAGAATTGTAATCTGAAACACAACAAATGTTTACACTAATACCGATAATAAAATACTAATATATAGGTAAAAGAGAACTCATTGAAATTTTATGGTAAGTTAGAGTAGAAAGAAGTTGCATTTATTTTTTCCAATACAAATTTCTGATCTTAAGAAAGTTAGAGTACTTTAAAAAATCAATAGTGAAAATATGGTCACTATAATTTAATGTTTCTGCAATTATTTAGAAGTTATATCTATTTATGATGCTGCCAATATCACAATTATAAATGATACAGACCTAAGAACAACTTTCAGTCATTCAAATTGCACAGTGTTTGAAGTCTATACTCATAGAAATTCATCAAGGACCAGAAAAACTGCACGTTTTAATTGGTTAAATGTATATTTCAGGGAAAACAAGTTTATTCAATTTCTGAAACAGAACAAACCATGACTAATAATATCGAAAGTATTCTTTTGGAGAGACTAGCTATAACTACAGTAGATCTTACAAAAGTGTTTGAAAATAATCTTATTTACCCAAATTCAATAAGATATTATTTTCAAAGTTTAGGACAAAAAGAAATTGAAGATGCAGAAAAAGCAACAAAATGTAATTGCCTTCAAATACCTAAGACTTTTAAGGAAATAATATTGTGCTTCATAATTGTCAAATATAGTTTTCATTCAAAACTTTTCCTATTAGAGTTCATAGGAAGGAAAGCTCACTGTGAACAGTACAAATAATAAGATCAAGGATGTGAACTAAATTGGAAGGAAAGGTCAGGCTAAGACGTAGCAAAAAAGAGGGAGTGGCATAAACAAAAACTGGAAAACCTAAGCAAATGCCTGACAGGACAGGATGTTTGACATTTATTTATTCATTTATGTAATCATTCCAGAAAATTACATCAAGGACAAACTGCATACTGAGCATGCTGATGTATTCTAAAGATAGAAATGCAGAAATGAATACGACACTGTCTCTGGTCCCAAGATTCTTGATTTTAAAGGGAAAGTCAATGTGTATATACACAAATGACAAAATGCATATTGTATGTGATGGAGGTGTCACAAAGAAAGATATAAGAGAGAAAGGGGCTAGAGAGTGACACGCGGCAGTGGGGGCTCAGTGGGGCATGGCAGTTTGGATAGGTTGGTTAACAATATCTGCTTTGTCAAGGAGACATTTGAATTGAGACCAAAAGGAATTGAAGAAGTGAAGAAAGACACAATTAGATATTTAAAGAAACAGCATTCCAGGTAAAAATAAAAATAAGTGCAAAATTATAAGGTGGAAGTCTATTGGGCATATTGAGGAAGGGGGAAACGGCTGGTGTGGTTAGAGCAGAATGAGACAGAACAGAATGTGAGACAAGGCCTGGGAACCATGTCAAAGGCATTTACTTATTTATTTTTCCCCTGAGTGGCAAAATAATCTTCTAGAGGCTTGTCTGCAGAAGAATGACATGACCTGGCTTACAATATTAAAAGAATCACTTTGGTTGCCCTATAGATTTACATAGGAAGACAGGGTAAGCATGATGGGGAAACAGCGTCAAGGCAGAGTGAAGAATGAAGGACCACCTTGCCGTGAACTGAGTGGATTTCAGATAGCAGACACAAATTGAAACATTAGTGGAGGTCAAATTTTAAAAGACTTTAAATATCAGGGCAAGTATTTTTCTACTTTATTTTGTAGGCAACTTATTAAACGTTAATGCTGAATTATATAATCATATACAAAGGAAGCTGAAGCGACAACTTTGAGGAGTTTACTGAAATAGAGATCATCTGGGCTGCTGTGTCAGGGAAAGCTTCATGGATAGCTTATCCCACAGGGATTATCCGGACCTTGGATTGTATCTGGCTTCTTGAGCAGCCTTGTTACTATCACCCACAGTACCCACGGTCATCCAAGAGAAAGAAAAATGAGTCTTGACCAAATCGTGGAACACAGCCGGCCTCGCTGCTGGGAAGAGCTGCTCTACCATTAATCTTTTGGACTAGGCATGTGCAGAGACTGGATGGGCTGAGCCCGAGGACAGCTGTTCTGAAGATAGCTGAAGCAGAACACGACAGACAAGAAAAGCCAGAGATGTATTTTGGTCATTCACTGACATTCAGTGAAACTGGCTGAGCCCTAGCTACAAAATTCTGAGAAATGGTGGCATCTCCAGGTGAAGTGTTAGGTAGCGGATAGAAAGGAGGCTGTTCCTAACCTAAGGATAGGACGAAACCAGAGCTAAAGAGGCAGAATTATTACTAAGACTAGAAGTTAAATTGTCCCCGATACCAGACCCTTCTTGCCTCCAGTAGCTATGTCCCTCTAGGTCCCCTGCACAGAGACACACACATGATGGAAGCAAGAAAATAAAGTTTAATTTGGAAATCTTATAATAGTTTATCAACAAAATGGTGTTCTCCATGTCATGGGAGTCAGGTAGTATCTTGGCTCGGCCCAGGGAGGGAAATTTTACACAGATTACGTGAGACCAAATGTTGAATTTCCTCTTTCCCTCTGATTTTCATCACTGCAACACATGAAAGTGCTTGCTTCTTTATAATTAATATCAGACCTCACATGAAATCTGGCCTCAGCTACATTCACTTCCTAATATTTCTTAACTGACTATATATATATATATATATATATATATATATTTTGTTGTTTGTTTGTTTGTTTGAGACAGAGTCTCGCTCTGTCACCCAGGCTAGAGTGCATTGGCACCATCTTGGCTCACTGCAACCTCCGTCTCCCGGGCTCAAGCAATTCTCCTGCCTCAGCCTCCCAAGTAGCTGGGATTAGAGGTGTCTGCCACCACACCTGCCTAATTTTTGTATTTTTAGTAGAGACTGGGTTTCACCATGTTGGCCAGGCTGGTCTCAAACTCCTGACCTCAGGTAATCTGCCCTCCTCAGCCTCCCAAAGTGCTGGGATTATAGGTGTGGGCCACCTGGCCTGGCCAATTGACAATATTTTATCTTTCTGTGGTATTAGAATAGCCATTATTCTTCACGTAGACTTACAGAACGTTAGAGATAGAAGACACCTTGGACATTACAATACATGCATTGACAGTGAGGAGAGAAGAAAAAAAGAATCAAAATCTATTTGACATCTGTTCTGTAACAGTTACATTACAATCTTTTAATGGTAGGAGTTATTCCCATTTTACATAAGGAAGAGAGAAAAATCAAAGAAACTAAATAACTTATCCAAAACCACATGGAATTTAAGTAATGTCTTCATTATCTATAAAGCTCATACTCCTTCCCTTCCTTCCTCCCTTCTTTCTTTCCTTTCTTCCTTCTTGCCTTCCTTTCATTTAACCGTTTATTCAACCAATATTTATCAGTACTCTGCTTTGTAGCAGCCATGATAAGCATTAGTGATACAATAATGAATGGTTCATGTCTTCAAGTAGCACAAAATGTATATTTTAGTTGTCCTTTTACTCTCTGTATCCCCTTATACATTTGGTGCTGCAGAAAGAAAAGAACAAAATTCTAAGAAGAGTCTATCAAGAGAAATTTACAAGAGGAAGACATTTATTCTAAGACTCAAATGTTGTGTAAAGGATATTAAGAGAAACATGGTATAAAGTTGTTTCAGGCTGGGCGTGGTGCCTCACGCCTGTAATCCCAGCATTTTGGGACGCCGAGGTGGGTGAATCACCTGAGGCTGGGAGTTCGAGAACAGCCTGACCAACATGGAGAAACCCTGTCTGTACTAAAAATACAAAAAATTAGCCAGGCATGGTGGCGTATGCCTGTAATCCAGGCTACTCAGGCTGAGTCAGGAGAATCGCTTGAACCCAGGAGGCCAAGGCTGCAGTGACCTGAGATCGCGCCATTGCACTCCAGCCTAGGGAGCAAGAGCAAAACTCCATCTCAAAAAAAAGCTGTTTCAGACAGTGGAGACAGGATATATGAAGCTCTGTACACAAGAGAGATAACAACTGTAGTGGATGCCACAATGAATCACCCACTTTGTTCTTTGAAGATGAAGGAAAATATTTATTTCCCCTAGTTGCTGGAAGTGCTGCCAGCAGACAGACCTTAGCTGACAGCTGTCTTTGAGAAGTGCCTTGACTCAAGAGAACAACTGTGTTCAAGGTCATATTGATTGCCTAGAGAAGTCTGCATCCAAAGACTGGTCAACTTGGAAGTACAGAGAGCTAACAGTTTCTCTCCAACTCAAGGCAATGCTGAAGGACTACCTCAGCTTCAGAGCTCCCATGTGATTGACTAAAGTCTTTGCTGACTTTGTATCACAGTTCAATATTTCTGTCTAATCCTGCTTCCTTCCCTTACCTGCCATAAGTATTAATCTCCAAAGTTCTCCTAAGCATCCCCTCTGAACACTAGCCTCCATCTCAAAGTCTGCTTTATAAAGAACATAGTTGGCAGCAAGTGGCAAAATGGTTTTGTAAAAATTAAATATGACCACTATGCTGGAAGTAGGTAAGATGGGATATGGTTAAAATAGAAAAGGAATGTAAGAAATACAGCCCAAGAAGTGTGCAGGGTTCTGGTCTTAAAGAATCATGTTGACTGCAACCTCTCAAAGAACAAAGCCCACAACAACTGACCTCAAACAGGAGCTCTTCACAACCTGACAGAAAGCATCTCTTCATACTTATCACACATCGTTGTCATGCATAGCACTTATCAAAGCCACTATTTTATAACTGGTAATTGGTAGTTTACCCGGCTGTGAACTCAGAGAGCAGAATATGAATCTGTCTTGTACACCACTGTAGCCCTCAGGGCTTAGTGCTGGCCATGCAGAATGAGTTCAGTATAAATTTGTTGAATCACTAAATGAATGTTAGCCATCACCCAACCAAGGGCAGCAAATAATTTTGAAAAGAACTCCCTCTTGCCAAGGATGTGGGACTCCTTTCATGGACATATAAAACATGTGACCTATCAAGACCTATTGCTATCTTATGTCTGCATTAATGTAATCAAATTCCACTTTGCTAGTGAGCATGCCCTTGTAAAATCTATTGTGCAGCTACATTTTTCATTTGTATCCTGAGAGGCGCTGAATAGTTACGTTATTAGGAATTTATAAAAGCTGGAAATTTGTCTGTTGAAGGTCCTGGGTGGATGAAGTGCGTCAATGATTTGAGAACCTATGTCAGGCTATAATATTTTATTAAAACAGCTTTAAATTCATGGTGCTCTAGTTTTTTTCACTTAATAGAAATAATAGAAATAGTGGGCTATAAATTCTCTGCTCCTGTTAGAAGGTGAAAATTTTCTCCTGAAAGCTTCACCCCAGCTCTTAATTGCAGACAAGATGAACCTGAGAATTCTAAAAATTGTTTGTTCTTAGGCTCTGTAGAGCTCATCATTGAAAATGTGGGTCTCCTAGACACTTGACTGTTTAATAAAAGTAATTCCTGTAAAGAAGGCACTTGGGGCATCTGGAATGGACAGATGATCATCCCCACATTGTGAGTTTATAAGAAAGAAAAAGCTGCCAGAAATGCAGACAAGTTGTAGGAATCCTAGCTCAATAGGAGTTTCTCTCTTTATGAAATTATTTAGGTATTTTTCTGTTGTATTAAAGCAGATTCCTCAAATATCCTATCAGCTGGATTGTTGGGTTTTTATTAAATGGATTTTTGAGAAATTAAAATAACAAAGAATTTGCAAAGCCACTGAAGATATTTTTCCATGATATTATATGAGAAACTTCGTGAATTTACTGTGAGAGGATTGAGAATAAGATGAAGAACCAAAAATGGTATACAAAAGTGTGAATAATTGTGAAGGATATAAGATTACACTACTTGCAGACTTACAAGTTAGCCTCCCACACTTTTATGGAGGCTGGCAGAAGACACAATACTCCTGGGTGAGAGACAAAAGACTATTATTACTCATGGCACAGCAGGCAGTGTGGGCTTCATATTTCCATCAGTTCCCTTTGCCTCTGCCTCCCTGGTCCCATGAGTGTGATGCAAGGGAGGACTGCTGAGGAATCTCAATTTTAGAGAGCCTCAATCTTATAAGAGAGCTACTGGAAAACCTTTCCAACTTTTACCCTAAAGAAAGACATCTTTTTTTTTTTTTTTTTTTTTCTTTTTGAGGGGGAGTCTTGCTCTGTTGCCCAGGCTGGAGTGCAGTGGCGCCATCCTGGCTCACTGCAACCTCCGTCTCCGGGTTTCAAACGATTCTCCTGCCTCAGCCTCTTGAATACCTGGAAATACAAGCGCCCGCCATCATGCCCGGCTAATTTTTGTATTTTAGTAGAGATGGGGTTTCACCATGTGGGCCAGGCTGGCCTCAAACTCCAGATCTCAAGTGATCCACCTGCTTCAGCCTCCCAAAGTGCTGGGATTACAGGCGTGAGCCATGACACCCGGCAGACATCATTTTTTTTAATCCAGGCCTAAAAATAAATCTTCTCTCTGTCATACAAGAATATGCTTTCTGTATTTACCAAGGCTGTTTGCTATCCAAACAGCTTTCAAAGTGTAGTCTGGAACAGAAGCTGTCAATGTTTCTTCACAAAATCTGCAAAAATCCAAGAGACACAAGACATTTCTCCCAACAAAAGGGCTATAAGATTGAATGCCTTTTTTTTAAAGATAAATATATTATCTTTTTCTATAGCTTATATGTTATATACAAGATTTTCTACTTTGTATTGCAAGAAAGACATGAAATACAAAATATAGAAAACCAGGGAGACAATGATCTGATAAGAGGAATATAAGTAAAATTCAAGTGATCTAAGTTCCATTATTTCCACCACTACCCTTAGTAGTGAAAGAATTATGCTAACAATGAAAATCACTTCAATTTAGTGAACACTTATTATGTACTTGGTAAGCATTTACAGACATTACTTAATGCAACAATCATAAGAAATGCAATATGGTATTTTATCTGTATTTAAAATAATCAATGAATTAAATTAAGCTCAAAGATTAAATATACCATTGATATTCTATGAATCCTTTTCAAGGCCTCAACCTATTTAACTCGCCACAAGAAACAAGATAGATGACAAACTCCTACGATATAGGGATAACAGGTTGCTGTGAAGGTAATAAAAATGTAATGACAATTTGCATTGCTCAAGCTATAAACCTTCCCACCCTCTCCCACTCAAGAAAGGATATCAGAAAGTGACTTTCTTATGAAAACCATTTTGAATCCACTCTAATTACATTATTCCCAAACTTGTTACTTTATAAGAAGCAGAAAATTATCTCTGGCACACTTTAAAACTGAATATGATATGTCAGTGAGTTGTAACTCTATAATTAAGACCCTCCCCTGGTGTATATGGAGATATGAATTATAATAACATAGAACCATTATTATGTAGATACATATATGGTTGTAATTATTTGATATGCACACTTAATTTCATAGCCCTCTCATGAGGGAGTGTGGAGTGTGTAAGGCTAGTCTTCGATTTAATTTTGGGGAAGGGATGTGGAAAGGAGGATGAGTAACAAATTTCCAGAAGGGAAAGAAAGCTTCCTACTGATGGCAATGCAAACATGCAAACATGCCAGATAGCCCTTCTTCATGCCTTTCTTCTTTCCTTCCCTTCCTCTCTTCAATCCTCTTTCCTCTCTTTCATTCCTAGGATTATTATTAAGACAGAGTTAGTCTTAAAGCCATTCGTTGGAGCAGAGGAGGGTGTTGGAACTGACCAGGGGAAAGAGTCTATCTGTATAGAAGTTTTACACAGCTTGGGGTTTAGAGTCTGACTGGAGTAAGGAGGCCACCCAGCCAGTCAGAGGCAGTGTAATGGTTGGTGATTAGTCATACATAGGGTGGTTGACTAAATCAATATACACATTAGGGATAATGGGAGCTGGGCTTCTCATTGATGGAGGACAGAATTACAGATGGTAAAGGGAAAAGTAAAAGAGATTTGGTGGTATTTATTTGAAATTGGAGGTATAAGTATTAATTAGTAGTTTAGATAGATGAATGTATAGACATAATAAGGAATGGAATATTTAAATAATTTGAAAGTTCTTTTGCACAAAATCAATAGAAACACTAAGGGATAATTCATGATTTTTATAGTGGAAAAACCCAGTACACAGTACCTTTGTGATGCAATCAAATTGTACATTATCAAGGACAAGACAAACTGAATTTTCATGTTACCCAATATGTTGCAATGCAAAGAACACAGTATTACTCTGTCCTATGGAGGCAGACCTAATTCTGTTGAAGAGGGAACATCACGTAGACTGAATTGCAGAGAAAGTCTACAAAATAACTGCCCTGTAATCTCTAAATGTGTCAAATTCATAAAAGTCAATGAAAGACTGAAGAACTAAAGAGACCTAACAGAAGTTTGTGCATGGTTCTAAACTGAATATTGTGCCAGTAAAGTTATTATTGCGGCAGCATGAAAATTTGAACGAGATTCAAAGATTAGGTGGTAGTAATGTAATGTGTTAGTGTTAATTTCCTGAGGTTGGTAGTTATATTGAAGTTAAATAGGAAGATATCCTTGTTGGTAGTTAATACACACTAAAAAATGATGGGGGTGGTAGGGTATTATGTTAACAGCTTGCTCTTAAGTTGTTCAGGGAAAAAAGTGTATCCCATATTTGCTTACAACTTTTCTGTATACTTAATGTGTTTTCTAAATACAAATAAATTAATAACTAAATAAGTAGATGTCAGAAATATTATTTTTCAACTAAGTTCTAACAATAAGAAGTATCTAAAGGGGACCTAGATAAAGGGAAACTTCAACTGTCAGGCACAATAGAGAATATGTTTGGGCCTAAGTACTTTTCAAGGGCCTAGGAAAATATCTAAGACCTAGAGAACAAACAAAATCATCAACTTGAAATTTAAACCACAAGATGAAAATTAATAAATATTTCAACAACATATTATGTTAGCCTCATTAACTGCCATAGTTAATATTTATAAAATTTTCATTATGTTTGAAAGCCTGTTGCAGGATTAATTTCTAACAGTGAAAGATTTCTCAGGCTTGTGAAATAATTGCTTAAAATGTCAGTCAACCATAAATAAAACACATTTCTCAGTTCTTAATTATTTTTAAAAGTAAAATAACAAAATATTTTCAAATATTTAGAACAAAACATGTATTTAATGTAGGATGGAGATATATTTTAACAGATTTCATATGGCAATGGGAGGGTTCTACAAAAGGACTTAAAAATGGTTTCCCGGTTAGAAGATAGTTCAATACGCATTAATCAGTCAGTGCAAATCTAAATCAAGAACGAAAATTCTAACACCTATCTTTGAAGAATCTGACAAAGCATAACAAAATTGGGATTTTTAGAATGAACAACCTTTTTTAAAGGACATCTCTTCCAAATGATTCAGGTGATCACCCGATAAATACAACACACTTCCTTAGCTTCCTACTTCCCTATCAGCCCTCACAATTTTCAATTCCCTTTAGCCAAAGATCACCAGGAACAGACTTGTGCTTGAACAGGTGGCTTTATTTTTTATTGCTTCAACACACCATAGGGAACCATAAGGTATCTGAGCAAGACAGGTTAGAAAAATCTGTTTAAGAATTTGGGTTTTGATTAGGTAATTTGGAGAGGTGTCTAAGGAAGCAGGGGTTTGCTCTACATTTGTTCTGTCAAAATGGGGGCAATTCTACAATTGAATATTTTAATATACCCCATCTATAGGAAGGGGAGATCAGTAAGATAATAAAGTTTAATTGGTAAAGAAGCAGCAATCCTTCATTTTGGCTGAGAGTGGAAGATACTTGCTGTTATGTGAAGTGTTAAGTGATGTGCTGAGATATTGTTTTTGAATCAGTTTCTAATGATCTCAGAATGACTTCTTGATGTTTTATGAGTTTTTTTACGGTGAGCGGGAGAAAAACATCATCTAGCTGTGATTGTCAGGCCCACTTGTTGTAACTTTGGAGGCTAGCTGTGAGCATTACATAGTTCCCAGATGTCAGTGGCTACTGTTTTTTACAATTCTTGGCAGGATCTTTCTGTTTCAAGAGTAAGTACTTTGCAGCACAAGCTTCCGGCCTCTTCCCTTCTCACTGCCTATCTTAATTATTACTTCTGCTTTTGTTTGCATTTTGGAAGTAATTGTAATGCATAGGACAAGAGCATAGGTTCTGTAGGGGTTTGGTTGCCTTGATTGAAGATGAAGATGTCCCTTCTTGATTTGTAAACTTGGGCAACTTATTTCACAAGCCTACGCAGGTTCTTCATCTATAAAATGGAATTAATAACTTCACAATCAACATTATGTACATAAAATGTTTACCATATTGTCTGATAGAGTGATCATTCAATAAAACTTTTGTTATAATCACTCTTGTTGGAGACTAGTAATTATAGCCACACTAACTTCTTCATTATGTGGCAAATTTATCAATGTCCTGGTAAAACCCCTGATCTAACCTTACCTTTGTCATTCAAGAAATACTTATTAAGTTCTTATTGTTTGGTTTACTGGGTTTATGGCTTTGAACTCTTAGGGACCTTACGTTCCAATGGAATAGGTGGATAATAGGCAAAACAACACAACAAAATTAGACATGACAAAAAGATGTTTGTTCAATAATGAAAATAAAATAGAATGCCTATTGTGACTGTTATAGAATGATTGTTTGGGAAATTCTTTTACAAGGAGGTGAACATTCAAACAGAAGTGGGATAATTTGAAGAAACCAGCTCTATGTCTATGTGGGGAAAGAGCCTATCAGACAGAGGGAACAACTGATGTACAGGATTTAAGGCAACAAAGAGTTGGCCTGTTCAACAATCTCCCACGATGTTGCCATTTGGTCTTGCATAACAATGGAATTAAACCTAGTCACAAAGAGACTTGAACATTGGAATTGAAATCATAGCAAAGGCAATAATGGGATATTTACCCCATTTTAAGGTTTCATCACTTGTTGTACATGACACCATTGATTTAGTAACAACTATTCTGAAAAAAAGTAAAATCATTACTACACACTCATTTATAAGACATTCCACTCAAAGAATCATCAAATATGAGGGAGACAATATCTTTGAACCAATAAATTCCTACCGTTTACTGAGTTCTTTTACTGTGTGCAAGTCCATGGGTAATATGCTTCACTATTACTTAATCCTCAGAACACAACAGGAAATAAATGTACACTCTTACTATCTTTACTTATAGATGAAGCAATTGAGTCCAGAAAGTTAAATGACCCAGAGTCATACTAAGTGACAAACACTGAATACCAGGTATCGTATGATCTCAGTCTTTGCCCTGAAACACTGTGTGATCAAAGCAAGGTCACCCTCCCTGAGCCTCAGTGTGCCATCTGTAGAATGAGTCATTTTAAACAGACATGAAGTCCCTCCAACTTTAATGTCTATTAACATCTAAAGAATAATAATTGTTAGAATTTAACCAACAACGCTGTCTAGAAAAATTCATTAGTATTTGCTTCTGTCATTTGTATAAATCAGTTATTCTCAACACTTAGCAGTTCTCAAACTTGAATCTGCATCAGAATAAGATAAGTTGGAAGGCTTGATTCAGTAGGTATGGTGTTAGACCAGAGAATTTCTGTTTCTTCCAAGGTCCCACTTCATGTTTATGTTGCTGTTCTGATGACAATGATTTGAGAAGTGCTGTTATAAATACAGGTCAAACAAATTAGGTGAAATATTTGTGTTTCATTTTTAAAAAATCATAAATAGCATACAGATTTGCTATGTGAATGACTGGTTTGGAATTGGGATTGGGAATTTGTTTCATTTTTGGTTTTTTGAAACCACTTTATTGAGATAAAACTGACATATAAAAAGCTGTACACATTTAATATACACACATCTTGATGAGTTTGGGGATAAGTATATACCCATCCCTATCACCACTAATAACAACTTAAAAATTTCCTTTACCTCCTCCTACTCCTTTTATAGTTATTTTTGTTTTGTTTATTTTGTTTGTTTGGGTAAGAGTTAACATACCCACATACCCACTTAGCAATTTTAAATATATGATATAGTATTATTAGCTGTAGGTAGTATGATGTATCTCCAGAACTTATTTATCTTGTATAACTGAAAATTAGTACCCTTAAAACATCACCTCTTGGCCGGGCAGTGGCTCACGTCTGTAATCCCAGCACTTTGGGAAGCCGAGGCAGGCGGATCACCCGAGGTCAGGAGTTTGAGACCAGCCTGGCCAACATGGCAAAACCCTGTCTCTGCTAAAAACACAAAAATTAGCCGGGCTTGGTGGCAGATGCCTGTAATCCCAGCTACTTGGGAGGCTGAGGCACGGGAAGTGCTTGAACCGGGGAGGCAGGGATTGCAGTGAGCCAAGATTGTGCCATTGCACATTGCACTCCAGCCTGGGTGACAGAACAAGTCTCCTTAAAAAAAAAAAAAAAAGATCACCTCTCCATTTTTCCTTCTTGGCAGCCCCTGGCAACCACTATTCTACTGCCTGTTTCCATGAATTTAACTACTTTTGATTCCACATATAATTTAGAACACGCAGTATTTTTCTAGCTTATTTCACTTAATGTCCTCCAGGTCTATATGTGTTGTAAATAGCAGGATTTCCTTCTTTTTTGAGGCTGAATAATATTCTAATATACATACATAACACAATTTCTATATTCATTCATCTCTTGATAAATTCATCTGTTGTTTCCATATTCTAGCTTTTATAAATAATGCTACAGTGAGGCACAGACAAGGTGGCTCATGCCTGTAATCCTAGCACTTTGGAAGGCCGAGGTGGACAGATCACTTGAGGCCAGGAATTTGAGACCAGCCTGGCCAACAAAATGAAACCCCATCTCTACTAAAACTACAAAAATCAGCTGGGCATCCATCTGTAATCCCAGCTACTTGGGAGCCTGAGGCAGGAGAATCACTTGAACCCCGGAGGTGGAGATTGCAGTGAGTCAAGATCATACCACTGCATTCCAGCCTGGGCAACACTGTGAGACTCCAGCTCAATAATAAGAATAAGAGTAAGAATAAGGAATAAAAATATACTGTTACAATGAACATAGGAATGCAGATATGTCTTCAGGATCCTAATGTCAATTCCTTTGGTTATATATCCAGAAATGGGATTACTGGATTATATGGTAGATCTACTAATTTTGTGAGGAAGCTTCAAACTGTTTTTTGTAATTACTGCACCAAGTTACATTCCCAACAGTAAACAAGGGTTTCCTTTTCTCCCACATCCTTGCCAACATTTTATATATATGTATATATATATAGTTTCATAACAATAGCCATTATTTTATATATAAAAGATAATGTTTTATTTATATATATGTTTTATATTAAAAGGATGTTTTATTTATATATGTTTCATATACCACACCCAGAGAATTTTTTGTATTTTTACTGGAGACGGGTTTCACTGTGTTAGCCAGGATGGTCTCGAGCTCCTGACCTCGTGATCCACCCGCCTCGGACTCCCAAAGTGCTGGGATTACAGGTGTGAGCCACCGCGTCTGGCCCCATTTCCTTTTTTGAGTCACATCCAAAAAAACATTGCCAATGTCAAGGAACATTTTTCCTATGGTTACTTCTATGAGTTTTGTGGTTTCAGTTCTAATGTTTAAGTATTTAAATCAATTTGATTTGATTTTTGTATATGGTATTAGATAAGGGTTCAATTTTTTTCTTTTTTTTTTTTCTTTTTTTTTGCCTGTGGCCATCCAGTTTTCTTATTACCATTTATTTAACAGATTTTTCTTTCCCCATTGTATGTTCTTAGTACCCTTGTAAAAACCTTATATGCATAGGTCATATTTATTTATTTCTGGGCTCTCCATTCTAATGTATTGGTCTATCTGGTTTTTTTTCTTTAATGTTAGTACCATACACTTTTGATTACTATAGCTTTGTAACATAATTTGAAATCAGGAAAGGTGATAATATCATTGGAATACTGATAGCAATTGCACTGAATGTGGAGACTGTTTTGTGTCATACAGAAATTTTAACAATACAAATTCTTCTGATCTATGAACATGAAATATCTTTTTGTTAATTTGTGCCTACTTCAATTTCTTCATTGATGTTTTGTAGTTTTCAGTGTACACAACTTTCACCTCCCTGGTTAAATTTATGCCTAAGTATTTTAAATTTTTTGCTGCTATTTTAAATTACACTGTTTTCTTGATTTTTTTTTCAGTTTGTTGTTTGTGTATAAAAATGCAACTAATTTTTGTGTGTTGATTTTATATCTTGCAACTTTCCTCAATTTGTTTACTAGTTCTAATATTTTTTGGAGGAAGCTTTATGTTTTCTACATATAATGTTATGTCATAAAGAGATAATTTTCTTTCTTTCTTTCTAAACTGAATGATTTTTATTTCTGTTTCTTGCCTAAGTGCTAGACTTTTTGTTATAGGTCCTAATGGCTAGATAAGATTTCCAGTACTATGCTTAATAGGAATGACAAGAGTGGGAATCTAAATTTATTCCTAATCTTAGAGAAAATGCTTTCAGCTTTTGACCATTGAGTATGATGTTAGCTGTGGGCTTGCCATATATATATATATATATATATATATATATATATATATATATGTATGTATATATACATATACATACACACACACACACACACACACACACACACACACAGACAAGTTCTTGCTATGTTGCCCAGGCTTGTTTTGAATTCCTGGCCTCAAGAAATCCTCCTGTCTCAGCCTCCCAAAGGTCTACAATTACAGGCATAAGCCACCACACTCAGCCACATTTTTTTTTCTACCTAAGAGTTTTAATCATCAATGAACATTTAATTTTTTCTAGTGTTTTTTCTGCTTCTTTTAGATGACCATGATTTCTATACTTAATTCTGTTAATGTGGTGTGTATTTATTGATTTGCATATGTTGAACCATCCTTATCCCACAAGTAACTCATACTTGATTATGATATGATTCTTTTCATGCACTATTGAATTTGGTATGGGAGTATTTTGTTGATGATTTTTACATCAATGGCTACTAGCAATTTTGGCATGTATTTCTTTTCTTGTGGTGTCCTTATTTGGCTTTCCTGTAACAATAATATTGGTCTAATAAGGTAAGTTTGAAATGTCCTCTCTTCTTTAATGTTTTGGAAGAGTTTGAGAAGGTTGGCATTAGCCTTCTATAAATGTTTGGTAAAATTCCCTAGTTAAGTCATCTTATTCTGGGCTTTTCTTTGCTGGGGTGTTTTGATTACTAACTTAACCTTCTTCTTTATGATAGGTTGGTTCAGATTTTCTATTTATTCATTGTTCAGTCTTGCTAGGTGTGTGTTTCTAGGCATTTATCCATTTCTTCTAGGTAATCCAACTTATTGGCATATAATTATTCATAGTATCCTCTTATGATTCTTTTTATTTCTATAGTATCAGTTGTAATGCCTCCTCTTTCATTTATAATTATATTTAACTAATTCTTCTGTCTTTTTTCTTAGCCTAGTTAGAGGTTTGTCAATTTTGTTTAACTTTTAAAGAATCTAATTCTTAATTTTGTTTTTTTTTATTGTTTCCCTATCTCTATTTTATTTGTATCTGTTCTAGTATTTATCACTTTCTTCCATATGCCCACTTTGGTCTGAGTTTGTTCTTTTTCTAGTTCCTTGAAGTATAATGGTAGATTATTTATTAGAGATACTTACTTTTTTAATGTAGGCATTTATTGCTATAAAATTCCATCAAATAACTGCATTTGCCACATTCCATAGCTTTGGTATACTTTGTTTTCATTTTTGTTTGTCTCAAGATAGTTTTTGATTCCTCCTTTGATTTCTTCTTTGACACATTGATTGGTCAGAACTGTCTTGTTTAATTTCCACATAATTGTGAGTTTTTTTAAGATTACCCATGATATTGATTTCTAGTTTCATACTATCGCAGTCAGAAAAAAAAACTTGATAAAATTTCAATCTTATTAAATTTGTTAAAAGTTCTTTTGTGTCCTAATATATGATCTATACTGGAAAATATTCCATGTGGCCCTAAGAAAAGGATGATTTTTTTTTGAAGTTTAATGGAATGTTCTTTATGTCTGTTAGGTTCATTTGGTCTAAAGTATAGTTCAAATTTGATGTTTTCTTATTGATTTTCTGTCTGGATGATCTATCCATTTTTAAAAGTGGGGACTGAAGTTCCCCACTATTATCGTATCACTTTAAATTTTTCCTTTCAAATATGTTAATTTTTGCTTTATATATTTAAATACACCAATGTGTGTGCATATATTTACTATTGTTACAAACTTTTGAAGAGTTAACTCCGTAGTCATTATATAATGCCCTTGTCTCTTTTAGTATTTTTGATGTGTAGTTTATTTTGCTTGATATAAATATAGCTACCTTGTTTTCCTTCGGTTTTCATTTGCATGGAATATCTTTTTCCATTCTTTACACTTTTAGCTTATGTGTCTCATAGGGTGAAGTGAGTTTCTTCTAGGCAGCATATAGTTGGGTTTCAATATTTAATCCATTCAGTTACCTTTTCTCTTTTTTCTTTTTTTTTCTAGGTGGAGTCTCATTCTGTCACCAGGCTGGAGTGCAATGATGTGATCTCAGCTTGGCTCACTGAAACCTTCACTTCCTGGGTTCAAATGATTCTCCTGCCTCAGCCTCCAGAGTAGCTGGGACTACAGGGATGTGCCACAACACCCAGCTGATTTTTGTATTTTTTAGTAGAGACAGGGTTTCACCATGTTGGCCAGGATGGTCTCTAACTCTTGACCTTATGATCCGCCTGCCTTGGGCTCCCAAAGTGTTGAGATTACAGGCATAAGCCACGGTGCCCAGCCTATCTTTACTTTTGATTGGATAATTTAATATATTTACATTTAAAATAATTATTGATAGGTAAGTAATAGAGCCTATATATTGCCATTTTGTTCATTGCCATTTTTTTCTTGTTTTCTGTTTTGTGTTTCTTTTGTTCTTTTCTTTCTCTCTTACTGACTTATTTTATGATTTGATAAGTTTTTTTGTTGTGGTGTGCTTTGATTTATTTCTTTATATTTTGTGTATCTACTTCAAGTTTTCTCTATGATTATCATGAAGCTTATATGTCACTTTTTTATTTATACAAGTGTATTTTAGTCTGATGACAACAAAATTTTGATCACATACAACACCTCCCTGATTGTCTGATTGTCTGTAACTTTACTTCCTCCCTCATGTATTATGTTATTGATGTCACAATTTACATATTTTCATATTCGTATCCATTAACACATTGTTGTTACCATAGTTGTTTTAAACACTTTTGTCTTTCAATCTTATATTAGAGTTAAGCTTAAAATATAAACCATCATTAAAACACTACAACATGATTCATTTTACTATATAGTTACCTTTACCAGTGAGCTTTTAACCTTAATATGTTTTCATGGTGCTGATTTGAGTCTTTTCATTTCAGCTTGAAGAACTCAGCGTTTTTTACATACGCTAGATCTAGTGCTGATGAACTCCCTCTTTTTCTTTTGTCTGAAAAAGTCCATATCTTTCTCCTTTATTTCTAAGGGACAACTTCACAATGTATAACATTCTTGGTTGGCTTTTTTTTTTCCTTTAGCACTTTGGATATATTTTCCTACTCTGCTATCCTGCTAGGTTTCTGTTGAAATCTCCTGATAATTTTATGTAGGTTCCTTTATATTTGATAAGTAACTTTTCTCTTGCTATTTTCAACATTCTCTTTGTTGTTGATCTTTGATAATTTTATTACAATGTGTCACAATGAAGTCCTCTTTATCTTTAACCTATTTGGAGTTCCTTAAGCATCACGAGTGTTCATAAAGGGATGCTCATTTCCCTCTTCAGATTTGGAAGACTTTCTGTCTTATTTCTTTAAATAAGCTTTCTGTCCCATCTTTCTCGGCTTCTTCTGGGACTCCTTCTGTGTATATTGGTTTAAGTCATTGTTTCCCATGAGTCATATAGGCTTTCTTCATTCTTTTTCATTCTTTTTCTTTTTTTTCCCCTCTGACTATATAATTTCAAATGATCTGTCTTTGAATTTATTGACTCTCTTTTTCATTTGATTGATTCTGCTCTTGTGTCTCTCTTTTGAACTTTTTACTTCAAACATTGAATTCTTCAATACATAATTTCTGGGTTTTAAAATAATGATTTATATCTCTTTATTGACTTTGCCATTTTGTTCATGCACTGTCCTCTTGATATTGTTAATTGCTCTCTCTGTTCTTTTGGAGCTCACTGAACTTATTTATAAAGATTGTTTTGAATTGTTAGGCAATTCATAGATGTCTATTTGTCTGGGGTAAGTCACTAGAGCTTGATTTTGTTTCTTTCATGTTATTATAACTCCTTGACTCTTCATGTTCCTCTAAGTCTTGCATTGCTGTTTTTGCACTTGAGGAAGCAGTTCCTTTCTCTAGTCTTTACTGACTACCTTTGAAGAGAAAGACCTTCACCAGTCAACCTGCTTAGAGATGTTAGTGGCCTCCAAGGCCTTTACTATGAATAGGTTCCTGCTCCGCTTGTCTTGTTATATTTGAGTGGGAAAATCTGAGGATTATGTGTCTTCTCTTGATCCTGCAAAGCCAGGATGGTTCTTAGACCCTCTCATTTATTTTTCTAGGACAGTGCCTTAAAACATTCACCATAGTTTGCCCCCTCCCAAAACCAACAGGGTAAAGCTAGCTGCTAAGATCTGAACCTGCTGTTGAGATCCATGTACTGCCTACAAAAGCTCATGTGGGCCATTAATAGAAACATATGGGGTGCCAACAATGCAGGAGTGGGTGAGCAAGTACATAGAGTGCTGGAGGCATGTGTTGGCTGGTTGAGAGGGTTCCTCAGGCGAGTCATATTGCAGGGATCGTGGGTGGGCCACTTGGGGGAATCCGGTAGCAGGTTAGCAGGATTTGCAGCTGGCTCTCGAGAACTGCCTAATGGTTGCTATATGCTCCCTTGTCATTTCCCTGCTTTTAGCTGTCCCCAGATGATTTAGTTGTGCTGACCTCTCAGTGCTCTGGTGGGATGAAACAGAAGCAGGCCTCCTGGGCAGTGTCCCACAAGACTGGGGAAGCCTAATGCTTACTTTTCTCCCACTTCTCCCCATGTGAGAAATTGCAGGCTGAGGGTGCCTCTCTTGGCACTGAGCTGTGCTACTTTGGAGGAAGGGTAATGCACATAATATGAAACTGCTCTATTATCGTCTTTAGTGTGTCTACTCATAGAATTTTTTTTTTTTTTTGTCTCACTGGGATACTACACTCTGTGGCTAGACTCTGCGGCTCCCACGAATGTACTCTTGTCTATGGTGTTTGCCAAATGTGTGTGTCTGTTGGTGGATGGGAGATGAAACTTCCTATTCTACCATCTTGTTAACATTATTTTCTGGAAACTTGTTTTTGTAACACCTAGAATACCCCTTCTCTTGGTGTTATTTTAAAATTTAAAATGATTTTATTGCACCTTAAATGTTTAAGCAATGTTTTTTTTTAGCACAGAATATGTATCCATATTTATCCTTCACCCAGCATTCGGAGTGATCTTTTAAAAAATATATGTAGGTTTTATGTAGCTGCTGTATTTTAAAATGTTTATTGGCTTCTTATTGTCTTTTGAATAAGGATATAAATTTCTTAACATGCCTTATATAGCTCAGTATATTTTGAGATGATCACCCTTGCTCACCAAGTTTCAGATGCAAAGGAATTCCTTCAATTTGCAGAGTCCTTTGTCTCCTTGCAGAGACATCTTCACAAAGTCAGTCCTTTGGTTGGCCCACAAATCTCCCTTCCTTTACCCCAATTCATTTTTGCCTAGCAAGTTCTTATTGATTCCCCACTTAAGTGTTTTAATATTTCTCCCTTAGAGAATGATTTCTTTTTTCTGACAACTGCTCCTTGCTATCAGTAGGTCAATTTCAAAAAAAAAAAAAAAAAAAAAAAGATAAAAAAAGAAAAAAATGCATGCTTCCCCAAAGGATATAAAGCATCTGTAATTAACTATCTCATTGAATTGTTTGTTTGACAGCTGGTCCCTCCTCTAGTAAGCTCCTCAAGTTCCTCAAGGATAATCAACATGTCTCCATCACTCAGTGTTGAAACCCCAGTGACTACCACAATTCCTGGCACACAGTTGGCACAAAAATTTATATTTGTTGCAAGAATGAATGGATGAATGAGTACATGAACAAAGGTACAAACTACACATTATATGAACAAATAAAAATTATAGGAAAATTATTTTGGGCTTAATAGAAGCGATAGGCTTAATATTATACATATTTTTTGCTATAATAATATTTGTGGATTTATATTTTAATGCTTTAGTTCGATTGAATTTTGGAATAACTTCTAGAGGTTTTGAACAATTGCGATAAGACCAGTGTCTACATATACTTGTTCTATAAATTAGAATGTTCTTTATTCTTCTCCCTGGGGTAGGGTGACATAACAAAGGCGTGTTCTCTAGTTCTGGCAAGGCTGCTGCATCTATAGAGACTCCCTGATTAAAATTCTGTCTCTTTATGAAACAGAAAAAGATGACTCAGAACACTTGGGGATCTGAAAGCCTCCAACATGAATTTCAAATTTCTACTGTTAGAATGCAGAAAAGCAAGTGAGATTCTAAACAGTTCCTTCTTCTATGGACCGCCCCTATGTCTTTTTGTGAACCAGTCGATGAGGACAATGAATAATGAAAATGTTTACTTGCATAAACATGTACATATGTGTTTCTTGTTGTTAGAGACAAAATACATCTTAGAGAATATAGAGAGGTCTGTGCCTTAGGCAATGTTGCCTGGACATAACTAACCTAATTTTCTATTAAATCTTGGCATCTGTAACATTTGTGATAGAATCTACAATACTCTTTTCAGATTAGTTGGATGCCACTAAACATTGCTGATATACATTTGGTAAATAAAATGAACACAATGTGAATGTGAAAGGTCTCTGGTTACTACTGATGATTAAAAGAGTCTAAAACATTCTTGTTAAAAGGTGAAAATCAAATTCAGGAGGTGGTGTTGGCATATCTTATTACTGCAAAGGGCAAAATCTGCTTCTTTTCTCAAACTTGGCTGAGGCAGTTACCCTGATCTCATTAGAGTTAACAAAATGCCAAATACTTGAATCTGTTTGCTATTTGAGTGCTTCTATTCTTCTAGATTTCAATATAAAATATAACCTGAGTCCAAAGCCCTATTTTCCACCTTAACACACTCTACTCTCTTCTAGCCCTTAGCTTGATCTCAGAGCAAAAATAACTTGCTGAAAGCGGTCATTCTTGATCACTCTATATCGAAGAAGTTCCCGTATTTTCTATTTTTCTATCTCAATAACTTATATGTAGGGTATGTATCACAATTTCTTTATCATTTATCTTTTTATTTCTTTTAAAAATATTTACTGATAGTTCTTAAGTATCAGAAGGATAGAGACCATGTTCACCATTTTTTCTTCATTTTTATTTCTGCAATTCCTAGAAGAGTACTATGCATAGAGTAAATGCTCAAGAAATATCCAATGAATGATCTGATTGAATTGTTTATTTCTTCAATAATTTGAGTGTATGTTATCTAACTGAATGAATATATATTAATTATTACTCATGTTAAGCAGACAGACAACTCAGGCTTAAAGAAAATGCATGACTTGCCCATATTTGTTCAGCTAGTGAAGAACAGAGGTAGAATTTGAACTTAGGACTTCTTTTTTCCACATCACTATTCTAAAAGCATTTTTCTTACTGCTCCCAGTATCCTGGGAAAAAGACAGGATAGGAAACTAATATTTCTGAACCCTCTGCTAGTATTCGCCCATATTATCTCACTTACTATATATTTTTTTGTTGTTGTTTTTTGAGACAGAATCTCGCTGTTACCCAGGCTGGAGTGCTGTGGCATAGCCTCGGCTCACTGCAACCTCTACCTCCCGGGTTTAAGTGACTCTCCTGACTCAGCCTCCTGAGTAGCTGGGACTACAGGCGTGTACCACCACGTCGGGCTAATTTTTGTATTTTTAGTACAGATGGGGTTTCACCATGTTGGTCAGGCTGGTCTGAAACTCCTGACCTTGTGATCCGACTGCCTCACCCTCCCAATCACTTGATATTTTTAACAATCCCATGAGGAAGGTATTGCTTATTGCTACTGTCTTTTTCTACATACATGTCCTTTCATCTTTGCTGAGCAACACATTAGATTTTGGAGTTTTAAAGCACTCATACACATTCTGTTTCTCATTTGATAAGCTCTGGGTTTGACACTCATTTTCTCTATTTTTCAAAAGTTAAACCAGTGGTTATAATATATGGTTAGACTTAAAATATTTTTATGTGAGTAAAAGGGGCTATTAGATGGTAAATCTCCAAGGTTAAATGGTGAATTTGTCACTTGAACATCAGCTTCCAAAGCCCATCTATTTTTTTTTTAGCCATACTGTAGAACAATGTACTTTCTCCTTCTCATTAAAATTGATCTCAAAATAACCCACCAATTTCACCACATAGTTCGCTCTTATAATTTTCTTGTAGAATCTTATGTAGCCAAACATTTTTTCTTGCAATTATTCTTAACCACACAGAACATCTGTACACCATCTAGGAAGAGATAAACCCACATGAACACATTTTGCCTTAGATATTTAAATACTTATAAAATCTATTTTCTCTGAGAGGACATAAATCACTCTTTGGCTGATTAAAATGTACAAATGAGTATTAATATTCCACCATTTTTTAATATTTATTTATTGAATATTTATAAATTTCAAGATAGTTTACTAAGTGTTGGAGATAGAATGATAAATGATATCAACACGGACCCACCCTTTAAATACAGTTAACATTTTAGAGGAAAGACAGATGTAATTAAATTCTTATGAGCACTGCAAGGAGAAATAGAGGTTACCAAAGTTTATATGGCAAGGAAAAGTGACCCTTCTGGGGAATCAGGTCAACTTTATAAGCTATTCATTGCATACATCTGGGGGTGGGGGAGAAAATGGAAATTGGAAGAAGAGAAGGGAGTTGTCAAGGTGACATGATGATTCTGGCTTGCAAAACTGAATACAGATGGCTGTGCCATTTACTTAACTGGGTAACACTGGAAGAATGCCAGGTTAGTATAATAAAACAGAGATGATCACAAGAGGAGACATGTACATGTTGAGTTTGGGATGTAGATATCTCCAGAAGTCCTGGAGATGTATAATCTAGAGCTTAAAGAAGTGGCCTGGGATATGTAAATATAGAGGTATTCAATATTAGGTGATGAATGATGAAGAACTCACCTAAGGATAGAACACTAAGTAACTATATTAGAAGTCTTAAGACTAATCTTTGAGGAACTCTAGTATCTAAAATCCAGATGGAGGCAAAGGATCCAGGAAAAGAGTTTGAAATAAATAGACAGAGAGGTGGGAGGATGAACATGAAAGGATGGCATTATGAAGCCAGAGGAATAAGTACTGAGAGGTCAAGAAAATGAAAAATAAAATATGATGAAGTGTTCCTTAGTGATCTTATCTAGGGACATTGTGGCTTATTGACAGGAGATAAAAGACAAGTTGCAATAGGTTGTTGAGTGAGTGGCAAGTAAAGGAAACAAGAAGATGCAGAGACTCCAGAGTTCCAGAATTCAAATGGAGCAGCTGGCTTTAGATAGGAGGAAATACATTTTCTTTTTTACTGAAGGAAAAGTTGAGGAGAGATTTGATACATTTTCAGTAATTTGTAAACGTGGCAGCAAAAAGTAAGGGATATTTCTGTTTGATGGCTTCTATTTTCTCTGTACAAGAATATGTGGTATTCTAAGAGTGATGGGGCATTATCAGTTAGCTATTGCTGAGTAACAAACAACCAACCTCAAATCTTAGGGGCTCAAATTGGCAGCCACTTATTACTTCTCCTGCATTTGTGGATGGCAAGGCAGTTCAGTGTATCTGGACTAAGTTCCATTGATTTTGGGCTGGGCTTGCTGCCTGTAGTCAACTGCCAGGTGAATTATGAGCTGGTTGACCTAGAATGACTTCAGCTAAGACCATGCACTTCCCCTGCAAGTTTCCTATAGTCCTACAGCAAGTTCGATAAGGCTTGTTCTAATACTAGTGGCAGTATTCCAGGAAAGAAAACAGTTATGGACTGAATGTTTGTGTCACCCCTAAATTCATATATTAAAGCCCCCCCAACCATCAATGTGACCATATTTAGAGATAAAACTTTTAAGGAAGTAACTAAGATTAAATGAGATCATAAGAGTGGGGCTTTGATCAGACAGAACTAACATCTTTAGAAAAAGAGATACCAGAAAGCTATCTATTTCTTTCATTCTCTCTGTTATGTGAAGACACCATGAGACAGGGGCTATCAGCAAACTGGAAGAGGTCCTCCATCAGAACCTGACCATGATATGCTCTGATCTTAAACTTCCAGCCTCCAGAACTGTGAGAAAATAAATTTCTGGCATTTAAGCCACCCTGTCTACATTATTTTGTTATGGAGCCAGCATAGGTGAACATAGAAACAAACAAAACATACATGTCATTTTTTAAGCTTTGGCTTGCATCAAGTATGCTATTATCTCATTGGTAGCACATCCACACTCAGGTAGCAAATCCACACTCAGATTCTAAGTGGGAAAGAACCCCAAAGTTATAAGGAGGGCATTCACTAAAGCTAGTTATGCAACAAATACAACAGGGAGGGGAAAGTGGTTATGACTATTTGGGAAGAATGAACAATGTTTGTTTGCTGTGCATTATATAAAATTGATTGATAAGATAAACATATTAGTCATTTTAGTCTGTGATGAAGGCCTGGTTTCAGTTAGTAATCATGAAGTTGTAGTCATACTAATCAACTTTGTATTATGACTTTTTCCCCCAAGAATGCTAGGGTACCAGATGTGTTAGTCAGCTTGGGCTACCATAACAAAGTAGCATAGACTAGGTGGCTTAAAAAACCAGAAACTTATTTTTTTTCAGACTTCTGGAGGCTGAAGTCTGAGAGCAGGGCTTTCTTCCTGGCTTGCAGAGAGCTGACTCTCACTATGTACTTACATAGCCTTTCCTTGGTATATATAAACCATGGTCTTCTATATAATAAAGAGACTCTTCTCTCTCTTCCGCTTATAAAGCCACCAATCATGTAGAATTAGGACCCCATCCTTATGAAATCATTTAACCTTAATTACTTCCTACAGGTTCTATCTTTATGTACAGTCACATAATATGCTAGCTTTCAAAATACAAATTTTGTAGAGATATTCGGTTTATAGCACCAGGGTACAGAAATCATTTAACCTTAATTACTTCCTACAGGTTCTATCCTTATGAAATCACTTAATCTTAATTACTTCCTACAGGTTCTATCTTTATGTACAGTCACATAAGATGCTAGCTTTCAAAATACAAATTTTGTAGAGATCATTCGGTTTATAGCACTACAGTACAGAAGTGAGAAGATGGCATTGTTTTTTCTTTATAAAGGTTTTGCCAGATGATAATGAAAATAAGAGGATCAGTGGAATCAGTGTTATTGGTTAGAGATGATTTAAAGTCCAATCTGAAAATGGAGGGTAAATGAAGAGGAAGAAGGTGATGGAGAGGGAGATGGAGAGTAAGAAAACAGTTGCCGCTAGATTGGAAATGCAATTGCATATAACAGCAGTGGTGAAGCAATCAAGCTGAAAATACATCAGTTAAGCAACTAGAATTAATTATTTGGGATATAGAGTAGTTTTAGGGATGGCAAGATTCAGAGTGTATTCATGGACATGGATCATGGAGGAGGTTAAGAAAATCTCATTGCAGAGGAGGATTAAACAGAACTGAGAGGGCAAGTGTGTTGTAAAGGTTGCCCATGTGTGTTGATGTCTTCGAATCGAATGGCAGGGACCTGGGGGGAGAAAGCCCATGCAAAACAGTGGTATTTTCCATAAATGAAAAGATTGACTCAGAAAGATGTGAATGACACCAACTAGGACATTTCCCTCCCTTTAATGTTTCTGGATAATCACCCGTTAAATGCACACATTGGGCTTTAAAATTTTATTTATAGGAATAATCACCTTACGATTTGCAACATGAAGCTCTTCCAGTAAGAGGAGTAAGTGTTTTGTTTTCTGAAGCACTCAAAGAAATGAGATAGGTCAGTTTTTCTACATTTAGTTAATCAGCCAAAGGAAAGGCCAAGACTGAGGTTATGTGACTTGCTATTGTATTTGTTTTTCTAGCTTTTTAGCTGACAGATGGCTCTTCGATTTCTTCTCCCCTCCAAGCTTCTGCTTTGCTAAGTCAATCTTCCATTGTCACGTCTCTGAGATCTGGAGGGGCTCAGATGCCTGAGTTATTTTTCTGTGTATTTATATAGCACCTCTCATTGTAGTCTTTTTGAAGAAGGTTAACAATCTTCAAGAAAGATGCCATCAGTCTTCTTCCCAGATGAAAAATGCTAAATACAGGAACAGCCAAGAATGATGGTAAAATTCCTTGAACAGACGTTATCCTACACCCACTCTACCTTTCTTTACATGTTTTTCACTTGGAAATAACAGAACTTACTTTTAAGATGCATGGTTTCTGATAGGCCTTTCAAAATATTTTACTTCCTTTTATTTTATTCTCTGTAGTTGCACATAGAAGACATATGATCTGGGGTTTTAAGTACAACATACAAGTTTCCTTCTTCATTTGGTAAGCCTTTCTGATATCCCCTAGGAGAAATTGGCTTACTTCCTCCCAATCAATACAATAATAATTAATAATACCTCTATAAAAACAACACATTCATATGCCTATCTTCTCAATTTTTTTTTTTTGTTTTGAAACAGTCTCGCTCTGTCACTCAGGCTGGAGTGCAGTGGTGCTATCTCGGCTCACTGCAACCTTGGCCTCCCCGATTCAAGTGATTCTTCTGCCTCAGCCTCCTGAGTGCCTGAGATTTCAGGCACCCGCCACCATGCCCAGCTAATTTTTGTATTTTTAGTAGAGATGCTGTTTCACCATATTGGCCAGGCTGGTCTCGATCTCCTGACTTCATGATCCACCCACCTCAGCCTCCCAAAGTGCTGGGATTACAGGCGTGAGCCACCGTGCCCAGCCAATTTTTTTTTTTTTTTTTTTTTTTTTGAGATGGAGTCTCACTCTGTCAACCAGACTAGAATGCAATGGTGCTGTCTTGGCTCACTGCAACCTCTGCCTCTGGGGTTCAAGCAGTTCTCCTGCCTCAGCCTCCCACGTACCTGATCCTACAGTCATGTGCCACCACGTCTGGCTAATTTTTGTATTTTTAGTAGAGACGGTCTCACTATGTTGGCCAGGCTGGTCTTGAACTCCCGACCACAGGTGATCTGCCTGCTTCAGCTTCCCAAAGTGCTGGAATTACAGGCATGAGCCACCATGCCTGGCCATCTTCTTAATTTTGAAATGACCCACACTTAGCACAAGGCTTGACAATTAATAATAGCTAGCATGAATGTTATTTGCCAAGAACTAGCTAAATACTTTACTATTGTTCATTTATTTAGCCCTTCTAAAGAAATATATGATAGTAGAAACTGTTCCGCTGAATAAAGTTAGGGGAAATAATTCGTGGCAGAGGGATTGTTTGTAAAGAAAGCCTCAAGTCAAAAGAGTTTGGCACCCTTAAAGATATTAGAAGTCCATTATGCCTTGGACTGCAGACAGTTAAAGACTGAATGATGGAGAACAACCTCAACTGTCAACTGGCAGTCAGGAGTCAGATTGTAGAAGATCATATGTCACTTTAGGATATGGAATTTTATATTAAGCAGAATGGAAAGTCATTCAGAGTTTCAGTAAATAATTACCAAGTAAGTGTTGAGTGAATTTAACTGAAGAGAATATTAGTAATATTTATAATATTATCTGAAGTATATCGTAAGAGATTTCAGTATCTGCAGGCTAACATTGGTTTTTAAACACGTGTCTCTACCCAGCTGTCTTAACATAAAACATATATTATTCTGTGGCCCTTATGTACTAAATATGATATGATAAAGACTGGGGAAATTTGTAAAGGAAAGCAACCAAGGCTACCTTGAAGACAGGTCTCTCTCCTGCTTTTTCTGATTTCCTGCTGAGATCCAACAGAAAAACCCATCCCATAGGGAAGTGAGAGGGGAAGGAAGCTCTGATGTGATCCTTACAGATCAACCTCCTGGGGCAGAGTAGGATGGAAAAGAATAGGTCAGGACAGAACAACAGTGAGAACTTGAGGTGAATGTTAAATTTGTGCTCTAGGCGCCTAACTTTACCCTTGCCCTAGCTCTGGATTGAGAGTGAATCTGATTTTTATTTACTTGTAGCCAGAAATATCCTCACTAGTGGAAGGTACTTAGAACGCCTGGATTTGAATAGTTTACAGTTGTTTGTCTTCAGCTAACTTGCTTTATCTTCTCTAAACCATACTGCCCTCATCTATAAAATGTGTTTGCCTTGAAGGTTCATACGGAGCAGTTAGATAAAATGCTTAACACACTAGCATTGTAATGCCAAGAAAATATAGTCGCCCCTCTGTGTTCTTGGAGGATTTGTTTGTTCCAGGGCCCCTGCAGATACCAAAATGTATAGATGTCCAAGTTCCTTATATAAAGTGGCATGCTATTTGCATATAACCTATAAACACCCTCCCATATACTTTAAGTCATCTCTAATTGCTTATAATACCCAATACAATTTAAATGATATGTAAAAAGTTGTTACATTATATTGTTTTTATTTGTACTATTTTTCATTATTGTAAATAATTCTTTAAACCTTTATTGTTTTTTTTTCTTAAATATTTTGGATTGGCAGTTGGGTGGATGCAGAACTCTGCGATGTGGAAACTGCAGGTGCAGAGGACCAGTTATAGTAGAGCATAATTATTATGCTGATGATGGATTGGAATTAGATTAAGTTTCTACTCAGAGTTGCTTGTCTTTGTCTTCCTTGAAGCTTTATGTCTTTCCAAGAAGTGCAGGTCATTGGATTTTAAGCCACACAACAGGTAAACAGAGATACTTTGGGACTGGAGAGCATGGGTGTTCATGAATATTATCTTGGAATATAACATGCCTAGTTTAGTTAAAGATGCATTGAGGTGGTATTCTAGTTACTCTGGGTGAGTCAAAGAATATGAACCTATTCTCTGCCCACAAGGAGCTTGCTGACGAATTTTAAACGTTAAGGAAAATATGTATTAATGGGAAGTAAAGCTATGTTTCGGAACTTATTTAAATTTTTCTTTGAAGTTTTTTTCACAGTGCCTAAGGGAGCAGGGTTAAAGCATAAAATGACTCATCTCAACCTGTACCAAAATTGGAGTCAAGATTTGTAACATTTTTTCAAATGAATACAATTTTGGGGCTATATTAATGCATAATGTAAAATGCAATCTATAAAAACCTTTTTGAAGAGCGATTAAATTCTATACTATAAGACATAAAAATCCCATAATCTGTCATAGTTCTTTGGCATCATAGAGAAATACATGACACTCAAGTTAGCTGAGAGTGCACAGTTGCTGGAGAATAGATTCTATTACCATGGCAACCTGATTTGAGATTCACAAGGTATGTTTTAACCTAGGCTCCTGACTTGGGAATGAATACAATCAAATCATTAGATAACTAAATTGCTGAAACAGCACGTGAGAAGTACAAGTATATTTAAGGGAAAATCTCTCTCGAATCTAAATTATCATCTGTCTATGATGAATCAGAATAATACCAGCCTGCATTCAGCAGTGATTTCTATTTCAAGCTGTTCTATGTAAAGGTTTGGTTATTTCTTTTCATCTAGATCTATAATATGTACATTTTTGAAATTGTTACTTAATTGCATACAATGTGACCAAATAGAGAGTTTCCTTATCTATAAAATGAAGGGGTTGGAATAGATGGTGTTTCAACTTCCTAATTAATGAGGCTAATGAGATGGGTGCTGTTGGTTTATGATCCCAGCAGTGGTTTTGTGGGGCCTCTTAAATTCTTCCTCAATAGTCTTAAAATGCTTTTTTCTCTCAGTTATTTGCAATGTGCTTAGGCATGGAACAATTTAGAGACAAGTGTGAGATACCTGTTCAAATTACCTGAAGCTAAGAAAAGGACAATTATTGGAAACATGCAAACATTAGCACATGAACTTCAAGGCAAGAAAATGATCCCATATCTTAATAATGGCTGGAATTATAATTGAAAAGTTATTGGCAACTTTGCAGCTTCTCTCTCTCATCATCATTATCATCATTATCCTCATCATCATCATCACTTCTCTACTTTTCTTTCTACATTTGCTTTATTATTTTTTCTCTAGTGCCAACTTTCTTTGCTGTATATGCATATGGGCCCAACATGGCTGCCTCACACTCAGATCTACATTATACTCTAGTTTAGGTACTTAGTAGATATGGTCTAGGACCATGATTTCCAAAATATTTCCTCATGAGATCCAGACCTATGTATTCTTGTGGTATACCAGATAGACACAGGTAAAAAGAAAAGAGTTCAGTACAGATGCAACCATCCTTAAAGCATCCTTAAACCATCCAAAAACAAAGATATATATATATATATATATGTGAATGTGTGTGTGTGTGTGTAGGCATATACACACATACATATCCTCCTGTATTCACTAAAATAATATTTAAATTATTTAACTCCTTACACATTTTAAGTTGTCACCTGAGATTTTTCATCACAAGTTTAATAGTTTCAAAAGATGTTTTCTGGATAATTGTTTATGCTGTATTGGCTTTTAATACATATCCTCCCCAATATGTTTGGCCATCATTCAATCCACTGAGCGACCAAATAGAACAAAAGACAGAGGAAAGAGTAATTTACTCATTTTTCTTCCTGCCTCACTGCTTGGGCTGGGACCGCTCATCGCATCTTCTCCTGCCTTCAGGCTGAATTCTACCACTGGCTTTCTTGACTCTCCAGCTTGCGGATGACAGTTTGTGGGACTTCTCAGCCTCCATAATTGCATAAGCCAATTAATACTAATGATGTATAAATAGACCAATATCTATCTCTCTATCTATCTATCTATCTATCTAACATCTATCTATTTATCTATCTATCTATAAATACAATACAATATACATATATTCCATTGGCTCTGTTTCTCTGGAGAACTCTGACTAATACTAATGATAGATGAATGGATGGGTAGGTAGGTAGATAATGAAGAGACACATAGATGGCCAAAGTCAGGAGCCTTTGGAGTAAAATTTCTATACTTTTCACTAACATGCTGACTTTTTTGTTTGTTCTCTTGGCTCTCTTTCTTAGCATCGATGAACTTTGACATTTCCCTTTGTTTGGTGCTTGAATTAATCAGACCAAAGGGCAATGAAATCTGAAAGATTCATTGCAGGCAGAAAAATGCTATTCTTCATTTAGAGCATGAGGAAAAAGCCATTTTAAAAGGGGGGGATAGTTATGGAAAATTAGAAGACAATACACTTTTTTCAGCAATATCACCTTTAGGAAAGACTACATGCAGAAGCTGAGTATCCGGAGGTAAATTTCCCTAAAACCATGCATGACTGTATAAACCCTGGAAAGCCTGCAAGTGGATAACCTCATCATGCAACTTGCTCAGTTTGAAGACTGAATTCTGGACTCTGCCAGTGCTTCAAATAATATGGTCTATGGATGAAATGTTCTGGAAACGTGTGGGATACTTATTTTGAAAAACAAAAAAGATATTGTAGACCCAGCTCCAAATCTGATGGTGAACTCTGGAGGTGTGGCCACAGAATTAGGCTTAAAGCTCTCCAGGTGATTATTATACATATGACCTTCTAGATTCTAGATCATTCTTTTGGAAACACTGCTCTCGTCCAAACAACAACAAAGGAGCAATAAAAGGGAACTTTAATATAAATATATATATATATATATATAAATATATATATATATATATATAAAGAACTTTAATATAAACAACAAAAGAGCAATAAAAGAGAACTTTAATAATTTCCCTACCTCTCAACATACATAAAAGGAGATCAAGTTCATAACCCCTAGCAATATTTCTCAAATCTCCCATTTTTTCTCCCCAACTCTATCATGCCCAACATTCCCACTGCCATTACCCTCCAAAAAGCAAGCCAACCAGCCAAACATGCCCCACTCCACCCTCCACTCCTGATTATGTGGATTGACCTCACAAAGTCCTTCTTCTTCTCTCACTTCTTCCTACCATTTTTATCTCCAATTCTTTGCTAGGTCATCACAAAAATGCACTAGAATAATGAGATCAAATACAAATTTGCTGCTATGGGCAGAAGACAGGCAGATGCTTTGCTGCAGAGAATGTGGAATTTGATGCCTTTTTCCTGGCTCCTGTAATCTCATTGACTGGAGAGAAGCCTCATGAAAGAGGTGTTCCAGGAAGTCTGCGTGATATTTACAAAAAATCATAATATGTGCTAAGTCATAGGCTTACTATACCTTATTTACTGCCTTCCACACTCACACATAGCTCCATGAACTTGTGAGAGAGGTTTTTGGTGCTACACAAGCCCCATGGCTTGGGTTTCTCTCCCTTTGATCAGAGCAATGTGCACAGAGAAATAATTTTTTAAAACTCACTTTTAAAAAAAATGAGTTCATCTATATGTGAACTGGCAGATATACCTTCTGAAGAATAAAATAGAAGGAAAAGTTACAGCAGGCTGAGTTCTCTGGAAATGTGTGCAGAAATGTGTGGGCTGCAAGAGCTTTATCAGGGTCAAAACTGGTGAAAGAAATGGGAGATAGAAGGATTGGATAAAGGGAGAAATTTAATTGCCATGCAGGATTGACAAAGCCTCGGCCTACCCTGCTGGGACCTCTGGGTGTATATGGATGGACAGTTTCCCCATTTTGGCAGAAATTGCCAGGTCCTTATATCCTCATTTCTCTGTCACAGAAGTGGGCCTCCCTGGGAAAGAAATGACCTGGGAAGAGATTGGTCTCCACAGCTAAAGAAGACCCTCTGAATGGGTTCAATGCTAAAGATTGCCTGCTGACCACACTCCCCTCAACTTGGGAGTCTCTATGAAGGGGAATGTAGGTCATGCCTTTCTAAGTCTGTCTTGGAAATGAGAAGTGAAATAAAGAAAGAGGGAGAAAGAAAAGTAACAGTGGTTTTGAAAATGAAAAGATAGAAGGAGCTTTCTTTGGAAAGGGGCATGAGAAGTGGAAAAAATAGCTATTATGCTAGAATGGCTTCAGGGAGATAGATGGTGAAACAAAATTCTAGGGTATTCTGTGCTTTATTCAATTAAGTTTCCTATCAGCATTTTTTAAAGAGAATCATTATATATAGAATAATTGTGTGTCCCAATATTCATATGTAAAAACACTAAAACAAACTCCACCAAATGTGACAGTATTAGAAGTAGGACCTTTGGAGATAATTAGGATAAGATTGGGTTATGAGGGCAGAGCCATTGTGAATAAAATTAGCGCCCTTGTAAGAGTCATGAGAGAGCTTGCTTCCCCCTTCTACTCTCTGCCAGGTAAGGATAGGATGAGAAATTGGAAGTCATCAACCCATAAGAGGGCTTTCACCTGACTATACTGGCACACTGATCTTGGACTTCCAGCCTCCAGGACAGATATTTAAGAAATAAATAGCTGTTGTTCATAAGCCACCCACTCTCTGATAGTTTTGTTGTAGCAGCCTGAGCTAAGACAAGACTTAAGTAAACATTTCAATTCCTTTTTAGTTCTTGTTCTATCTGCAATACTGGGAATAGGCTGAATACAAGTTTTCTGTGAGTAACAAAAGGATTGTCATTCCCTTGTTTAAAACCCTTCTGTGACTTTCCATGATCCTCGAGATACAAACTTCCCAAAATGACAAACAAGACCTTGCCTTTAGTGGACTCTACTCTCCTCTCTTCACGCTTCCTCTTATACAAGGGTACATTCAAGCTACATCATAAATACCTAGCTGGTGTGTACCCATCCTTCTAACTTTTCACACATACCTTTTCCTCTGTTTGAATCACTTCTCTTCACTTAGCTTCCTTTTCCCTCAAGTTTCAACTGAAACGCCACTTTCTCAGAAAGCCTTCCATAATGCCAACACCACAATTGTACTCTATCACAACTACATTTTTCTTTCAAAACATTCATAGTACTCCAAATTATTAATTTATCTTAATTTCTGTATTCCCTAAGAGGCTGAAAATTTGATGAGGATAAGGAAGCATCTGTTTTGTTCATCACTGCATCTCAGTGCTTCATGTGGGAAAGGAAGGTTTTAATGGTGGAGTTAGTTATCAGTGATAAGCAACTGACCATGGTAGAGAATTCTAAAATGGGCAGCTGTGATACTGAAAACAGAATTAAATTATTGGTGGTATCTATAGATTTGGAATAAGAGTAATTACCATTATAACAATGATAATAATAGTAAACACATCAATTATACAGCATTCCATGCACAGATCTAGGTGTTCTAGATACATTATTTTGTTTCTTGCAATAATATGATGCAATAATACGAGATGGGAATCATTATATCTACATTTTTCAATTGCAGGAACTAAAGAACAGAGAGGCTCAATAACTTCTCCAGTGTTACACACTTTGCAAGTATTAGAGCCAAGGATATGAACTCAGGCAGTATGGTTCCCAAAGTAACACTCTCAATATTCAATTCTGTCACTTTAACATTTGAGTTTGACATTGATAATAATAGAAGTGGGTCTTTATTAGGATTTTTTAAAGTAAAAAAGTAGAGATTATGTAGTTTTATAATTTTCCTGGTGAAAAGTTAACTCCCTCCTCCATCCACTCTTATATCAGATGAATGGGCACCTACCAGGTACTATGATCAGTTGTTATCTGTTTCTGCCTACTTTCTGTTAGCTATATAGCTGAGGGAATCTACAGAAAGTATGGATGATTTAACACTGTCTTTTGAGGTTACATAATAAAATAGTAAAACAATTAAAGGCATGGACTATAGAACAGTTGGACTTGGGTGAAACTATCCCCTACTTTGGAGCAAAAAGCTTTTGAACCTACTTCCACATTTGTAAAAGGAGACATTCCTCATATCTTACTTAAAAGGATATAGGAAGGACAAATAAGCATAGTATTTGCTACAGAATAAATAAATGACAGAGAGAAAAAGTCCATTTTATTTGTTCACCCTCATCCCAAATTTTTCCATGCGACCTGTTGTATCAACTTATAACTTCTTTATAAACCAATAGTAGCAGTTTAGTTTATGTACACTCAGTCAGATAATAAAAGTTGAACAAAATTTATCCAATGGATTATCACTATGATTTTACTGGCTTATGTTCAAGGTTATAATAACTATGCATTGCATTTGCTAATACTTTTATGCCCAAGGCAAATGTAATTAAGGTTATCATAATCCTGTTTGTACATTCATACTTGATTGCATGTTAATGTGTGTAACTTTGAATTATACCAGTTCCTAATGGGTTTTAAAAATATTTTAATGTTTTTGTGCCATGAGTCCTTTATTGTTTTCTCAGATCTAATCTAGTCTAAGGGCAACCATTTTCTCCCATCAGCACCCATAGCATACACTGCTAATCATCGAAGTTTTCTTTCCAACTGAGCCTTGACAGATCCTCCAAATCCTTCTCAAACAGCCAAACAACTGATCAGAGTTGGTCTGGGAAACATTTGTCATCCAGGAATGAGAAATCAGAAAAGTGACATCAGTAAGAGCTAAAGAAAAAGGGAGGGTTAGTAAAGTGTTATGAAAGAGGACTTGAATTATAAAGGCTTGAAAATGCTTGGACCTAATTCATTTCATTGCACACTCCCTAAAAGATGTCTATTACTTCCTGTACCTCCACCCAGTCCTTTTCTGGCCCTAGCTAAACCTGGGATCATTAGATATCCCTTCCATTCTAATAGCTCTAAGACACACCATCAATAAAGTATTTATCTGCTTCTGTTGGCTAGAGTCCATTTCTAGTAGCTCAAATAAGAATTTTAAAAGATGCTATTCTTGTTTCTAAATTTTCCTCCAGAAGGATCAAACTAATTTACATTTCCATCAATTGTATATGAATGTGTTAAGGTAGTATTCTAAAGGAAGTAGCAAAGAATAGCCAAAAGGCAAATGGGAAATGGCAATGTTTTCATTTGAATTTGCTTGATCAGAAACATTTTCTCTTTTTTCATTGAAGCAAACTGATCTTGGCTTGCAGTTAATATCACAGTAAATAAATGACACCTCTACCTCAAAGTTAGAGAATTCATTTTTCATGGGGTTGTAATTCCCTTAGCAAACACAAATATCTTGATTATGTTCTGTGAAATTTTTCTTTATAACAGTATGCTCAGATCTCCTTTGGAGTTGTTTTGAAACTTGTCCAATCTTGCCAGCAAGTGATCATCAACTAGATGTTTCTGTGAATAAACATCCAACTTACTGCAATGATTTGCAGATATAATTGTGCCTGTCTCTGTATCTGTCTTTATTCAATTGCATATAGCAGCAACTAATATATGAGTGTAAAAATAGCTATGTATATATTATTTTGAATGGTAATTAGAAAGCAAATCACCTGTAAAGCTGATGGAAAGATTGTTAGGCTCTATTGAGCTTGAAAATTCTCATTTATGTTTAGTGTTAAATTTAAATGTAAAAAAACACAAAAGGATTAGCCAAAAAAAAATATACAGGCAGCGAGCTATGAAGATGATGGGGTCACTGACACTGAAACTGGTGACGAATGTTAAGAGTAGATTAAAGTATTTCCTTCCTTGGGAATGAAGACAGAGAAGGAAACCTGTAATTAAAGCATTTGTGTTGCGGGTAGAGGAGTCTCTAGCAGCAACGGACCTTAAAAAATATACAAGTTGACTGATTCAAATCAAAACAGAACAGATGCTGTTCAATAAAGGGAATGTTTTCAGAATTATGAGAACTAGATAAGTTCTCATAATTGTTGGTAGAAATCAGTACATCAGTTTGAAATGTTGGCAATATTCAGACAGAGGAGTGTACTTCCATTTCAACTGACAAATTTGAGTTTCAGAATCAACTATCCTCTGTGATCATTCCATTAGAAATATCACATTCTAGATAGCCAGAGTGGAACAGAAAATTAATGGTGAATGATCATGTGCAAATTTCTAAAGGGAAAAGACACTCAAAAACCATTTCTTCCCCTTTCATATCACTCTGCATACATAAATCAACTCCAATAAAAACCAGAAAATATTTATCGAACATTTATTAAGTGCAAGGCACTGTACAAGAGACTGGAGATATAGTTGTAAACAAGAGGCTCAAACTGGCTTTCCTCTCTAGAAGAGAGACATGTAATGTATTTGTGTGTGTGTACATGTGTGTGTGTGTACATATATGTGTGTGTAATATTATTTCAGCAAGTTATATGAGCCACAAAGACTGTTACAGCATGATAGAAAGTAGATGAGACCAGCTGAAAAATCATGGTCAGGAATAAGCTTTCTAAAGGTAACATTTGAGTACACTCTTGAATGAATTCAGGAAATTAGCGAAGATTTCCTTGCCAAGGAAACAACAAATAAAAACGCTCAGGTGTGGGAATAAATTTGACATGTTTGAAGATGAACATGGAGGTCTACATTTCTAAAATTAAGTGGGAGAAGGGGAGAATAGTAGGTGATGATGAAAGGGAATTATGTAGGAGCAGAACATGTAGGGTCTTGTAGATCATGATACTGAGTTTAAATGGTATTTATTTAATGAATGGAGTTTGACAGTGAGCCATTTGAGTCCTTTGATCCTAGAGTCATGATCAGCCATTTCCTTGTTTTCTACATTTTTCCCATTAGATAGAAGAGTCTGCAAGATTTTGGTGGTATTTGCCTTATTCACTGTTTATATTCCTGGTATCTAGCACTGTGTGCATGTAAAGCATCAAGCATACATTAAGCAGCTGTAGAATGTAACTGGATATAAATCTGGTTCCAAAATATTAGCAAAACTTCATGTTTTAGCTACGCTTGGCAAAAATGAAGGGAACATACTGAGGTAATTAGAACTTAGAATCAAATACATATATATTTTAGCTAAATAGATGATTGGGACAGTACTCTTGTTCCCCACTTGGGCATGAGTCTTTTTTTTTTTTCTATTTTCATAAGGGAAATAAAGCAAGATGTAAATGCTATTACTTCAGGCAGTGCCTTTGTAGACTAAACTTTGTCCTTCAAACACAGTGCTCATGTTAATTAGAATAGACCAGCAGGGAATATTAGGGGCTTAAGAAACTCTTTAGGTTGACATCACCAAAATGCATCAAATTGAATATTTGGCATATTTCTCTTCGTGATAACTGAATCATCTCAGCTTTTATTTAAGATAGCACATTAAATACAGAGTAAAAGGGCTTTGGCTCTCTTTGTAGTTTTTAGGCAAATATTAATCTAGATTTTCCCAGCAAATATAGAGGATTTTTTATTAATCAAAATGAAACTATGTTAAATAGTAAATTCTATTTACATGGTTGTGTGCTAAAGGTTGGGGAAACTTTTATTATGATTCTGAAATATTACTTCTGCCTGGACATTTCCTAACTCTTTCCCTAATTTTTATCCTAATAAAGTCATACATATTCTTCAAAATCTAGACCCAGATTAAATATATATATTGATATGACCACACTGGGCAAAATTAATTATGCAATTTTTATGTCCTCACTACCTTTCATTCATAAACTTGTCATGTTTTTCTGAATTCATCAGATCACGAGTCCATCACCTCCACTTTGTTGAGAGCATCCCTAGAGAATGGATTCAAATTCATCTTCTCCGTCTCCTCAAATTTTAGCAAAGTCTGGCATTTGATGAGCTCTTGTAAAAGACTAAATAAAACAATACACATTGATATACTATTATGTATTTTCTAGATTGGGGCTCAGGGTTTCCAATTACCCTGGAAGCAGCACACTATCAGTTTGATGTTCAAAGATAATTTACAGTTTATCTCTGGAGATAAAATGAACATAGTTTAGAGAACAGTGTTTATTACAGAACTAGTTTTTTATGTTGAATATATTGGCTGATCAAGTTCTGGAAGCCAAAGATAAATATTTCTTATAAGAGATTATATGAGGTGCAGTGGCTTGTGCCCATAATCTCAGCCACTCAAGAGCCTGATGCAGGAGGATTGCTTGAGGCAAGGAGCTTAAGATGAGCTTGGGCAACATAGCAAGACAAAATAAATACTATAAAAAAAAAAGAAGAGATGATATAGACGAGTCTATTAAAGAATGAGAGGGTGGGATGCCTGGTGAATGTGAGTGCCAAAGAAAACTAGCTTTAACTAGACCCATGGCCATAATTTATAATCTACAGGACTGGAACAATAATGTCAAATAACATTTTTAATTTTATTTAGTGACAGGAAGAAAAGAACCAAACTCCTTAATCTAGGGATGTTACCTTTATACTCACGAAGTGAACTTCATTTGGAGTAGAGGCTCCATATGATTAGATGGGGAAATTTTTAAAGAAAGTTTGAATTAATCATTCATGGAAGACAGAAAGAGGAAAAGTGATTTTCACAGATTTTTTCACAGATTTTTCTTTTTCTTTTTTCTCTCCATTACCATTTTTTTCTACCTCTTCTTCTCTGTCCCTTCTAACTCTTCACCTAGCTTGCTTTTTTTTTCCTAAAAAGTGCTGATTGGAGGAAAAAATATATAAAAATATATAAAGCTGAATATTGATCTCAATTGCCTACATGACAGATTCATATCAAATAACTCCAGTAAAAAATCTAATATTCCCTTGAAATGGAGGTAAATTTGATTCAGAACACGCTATAGAACAAATTGGTAAATGAAAAAAAAATTTGAAGAAAATTTTTTTGAAAAAATTTAATTTTAATTGTTTAGATATCCTAGAGCTTTGACTTACTTTCACTTTACTAATGTGTCATAAATTGCCTTGCCTTTTTGCCTCTGACTCTGCTCCAGTACAAGGCTTAGCTGGCAATTGTTAAGAAGCAAGGAGAAGATTCTGATTTCTGCAGAAATGGCAAGTGGTCAAGGAGAAAGTCTAAGTCAGTACTGTAGCCATGACATGTCAGTGTGGATTCGTGGGGTGCACTGTTCATGGGCAGATGAATATGCGCACACTGAAGACTGGCCCTGAGGAGGGGCTGACGTCAATGCAGCATCTGCCCTTCTGCAGCATGCTGGGCCCTTTTATTACTGAAATAGCTTCACAGAGTGGCCTGGGCTGGCCTGAGATACAGCAGCAGCTGTGTTTTTTTCCTCCTTCCCTAAGACCACAAATGACTGCATTTATGAGAAGGGTCTGCATGGAAAAACAGATTTCTCCTTTTTTTTCCCACTGAGCTACAAACGTCTCCACAAGGAGGTGGGGAAACTTACTCCATGATCTAGAGCATCCTCCAAGACTTGCTGAATTTAAAAGTATTGATTTAGAACTTTAGTACATGAAACTCTAAAAGGGTGTTGTGGGAGGCTCTTGGAATTTGATCTTCCTTTTCACAATTCTTGATATATTAGTGAGAGTCGCCACCATCCAAGACAACGTTATATAAAAAGTACAGCACCTAGGACCAAAAAGCTTTTGAAGGGCTTCTGAAAACATTTGAAATTGTACATAAAATTTACATATCCATATATAAACCCAGAAAAATTAAAATTATAATGATTTAGTTAATTGTCCATGAATTATTTTATAACTAACCAATTGCTCAATGCAAATCTTATATAGATGTAAAAATCAAAGCGTAGATTTAACCTAATAAGGTTAAAATTGTAAGAAAAAATTAATAATGGAATTTATAAGAACTCAATATAAAAATTAGAGAGTTCCACTTTGTTATAATTACTTATGATATTCAATAGGTTTGTAAGTATTTTGTAATATGCCTAATACAATATAGGGTAAGAATACCCAAAGTGGAAATGCATGGACCAAGAGGGCACCAGAATGGTCCTAAGGTCCTCTATTCACATAGAAATCTTATGAGTTCTTTCTCCTTACTACACCATTCATCTATTTACTTCTTTCTATTCCCATGCCACTACAGTCCCCTTCACTACTGTTTATCATCTGAATTCACTTCAATTTTCTAATAATGGTTACTCCTACCTCCAACTGTGCCAACTCTTTTAGATCATCCCCACTGCATCTTAGTGTAATCCACCATATTCTGACCCTGTTCTTCCTTCCAAGGAGATCCCAGTGTGGTACGGTTTGGCAGTGTCCCGAAACTTATCTTGAATTGCCCACAATCCCCACTTGTCATGGGAGGGATAATTTAATCATGGGGGCAGTCACTCTCATGCTGTTCTCATGGTAGTGAATGAGTTCTCACGAGATCTGATGATTTTATAAGGGGCTTTTCCCCCTTTTGCTCAGCACTTCTCTTTGCTGCCACCATGTGAAGAAGGGCATGTTTGCTTCCCTTTCCACTATGATTGTAAGTTTCCTGAGTGAAGGGGTGGCCTGCCCCTCCACACCTGTGGATATTTCTAGTCGGGTGGGACAAGAGACTGAGAAAAGAAATAAGACAAAGAGACAAAGTATAGAGAAACAACAGTGGGCCCAGGGGACTGGCACTCAGCACACCAAGGACCTGCACCGGCACCGGCCTCTGAGTTCCCTCAGTTTTTATTATTATTTTCATTATTTCAGCAAAAAGGAATGTAGTAGGAGAGCAGGGTGATAATAAGGAGAAGGTCAGCAAAAAACATGTGAGCAAAATAATCTATATCATAATTAAGTTCAAGGGAAGGTACTATGCCTGGATGTGCACATAGGCCAGATTTATGTTTCTCTCCACCCAAACATCTCAGCGGAGTAAATAATAAGGCAGCATTACTGCCAACATGTCTTGCCTCCCACCACAGGGCAGCTTTTCTCCTATCTCAGAATTCAACAAATGCACAATCGGGTTTCATACCAAGACATTCAGTTCCCAGGGGCAGGCAGGAGACAGTGGCCTTCCTCTATCTCAACTGCAAGAGGTTTTCCTCTTTTACTAATCCACCTCAGCACAGACCCTTTACGGGTGTCGGGCTAGGGGACTGTCAGGTCTTTCTCATCCCACGAGGCCATATTTCAGACTATCACATGGGGAGAAACCTTGGACAATAGCCCGCTTTCAAGGGCAGAGGTCCCTGAGGCTTTCTACAGTGCATTGTGCCCCTGGTTTATTGAGACTAGAGAATGGCGAGACTTTTACCAAGTATACTGCTTGTAAACATTTTGTTAACAAGGCACGTCCTGCATAGCCCTAGCTCCCTTAAACCTTGATTTTATACAACACATGTTTTTGTGAGCTCCAGGTTGGGTCAAAGTGGCTGGGTCAAAGTGGCTGGGGCAATGCTACAAATTAACATCTCAGCAAAGCAATTGTTTAAAGTACAGGTCTTTTTCAAAATGGAGTCTCTTATGTCTTCCCTTTCTACATAGACACAGTGACAGTCTGATCTCTCTTTCTTTTCCCTACACCTGAGGCCTCCCCAGCCATGCTGAACTGTGAGTCAATTAAACCTCTTTTCTTTATGAATTACCCATTCTCAGGTATGTCTTTATTAGCAGCATGAAAATGACTAATACAGTAAATTGGTACCACAAGTGGGGTGCTGGAGTAAAGATACCTGAAAATGTGGAAGTAACATTGGAACTGTGTAACAGGCAGAGGTTGGATCAGTTTGGAGGGCTCTGAAGAATACAGAAAAATGTGGGAAAGTTTGGAACCTTCTAGAGACTCGGAGAGTTCAGAAGACAGGAAGATGTGGAAAAGTTTGGAATTTCCTAGAGACTTGTTGAATTGCTTTGCCCAAAATGCTGATAATGATATGGACAATGAAGTCCAGGCTTAGATGGTCTCGGAGATAAGGAACTTGTTGGGAACTGGAATGATGGTGATTCTTGCTATGATTTAGCAAATTGACTGGCAGAATATTGCCCCTGCCCTAGAGATCTGTGGAACTTTGAACTGGAGAGAGATAATTTAGGGTATCTGGCAGGAGAAATTTCTAAGCAGCAAAGCATTTAAGAGGAAGCAGATCATAAAAGTTTGGAAAATTTCCAGCCTGATGATGTAAAAGAAAATTAAAAACCCATTTTTGGGGGAGAAATTCAAGCCTGATGCAGAAACTTGCATAAGTAATGAGGAGTCGAATGTGAATTACAAAGACAATGGGGAAAATGTCTCCAGGGCATGTAAAAAACCTTCAAGGTATCCCCTTCTATCAAAGGCCCAGAGGCCTTGGAGGGAAAAATGGTTTCATGCGCTGGGCCCAGGGGACTACCTGCTACATGCATCTTTGGGTCATGGTGCCCTGTGTCCCAGCTGCTTCAGCTCCAGCCATGGCTAAAATGGGTCAATATACAGCTCAGTCCATTGCTTCAGAGAGTGCAAGCCCCAAGCCTCGGCAGCTTACATGTGGTTTTGGGCCTGCAGGTGCACAGAACTCAAGAATTGAGGTTTGGGAACGTCTGCCTAGATTTCAGAGGATGTATGGAAATGCCTGGATGTCCAGATAGAAGATTGCTGCAGGGGTGGAGCCCTCATGGAGAACCTCTGCTAGGGCAGTGCAGAAGAGAAATGTGGAGTCAGACCCCCCAAACAGAGCCACTCCACTGTGGCACTGCCTAGTGGAGCTGTAAGAAGTGTCCCAACTGTCCTCCAGACCCCAGAATGGGAGATTCACTGACAGCTTGTATTCTACATCTGGAAAAGCCACAGACACTCAACTCCAGTCCATGAAAGCAGCCAGGATAGGAGCTTCATCCTGCAAAACCACAGGGATGAAGCTGCTCAAGGCCATTGCAGCCCATCTTTCGCATCAGCATGACCTGAATGTGAGGCAGGGAGTCAAAGGAGATCATTTTGGAACTTTAAGGTATAATGACAGACCTATTAGATTTCAGACTTGCATGGGGCCTGTAGCCCCTTTGCTTTGGCCAATTTCTCTCATATGGAATGGCTGTATTTACCCAATGCCTGTAGTCCCATTGTATCTATGAAGTAACTAACTTACTTTTTATTTTACAGGCTCACAGATGGAAGGGATTTGCCTTGTCTCAGATGAGACTTTGAACTTGGACTTTAGAGTTAATGCTAGAATGAGTTAAGACTTTGTGGGACTGTTGGAAGAGCATGATCATGTTTTGAAATGGGAGGACATGAGATTTGGGAGGGGTCGGGGTGGAATGATATGGTTTGGCTGTGTCCCCACCCAAATATCATTTTGAATTGTAGTTCCCATAATCCCCACATGTTGTGGGAGGGAGCCAGTTGGGGGTAGTTTAATCATGGGGGTGGTTACCCTCATGCTGTTCTCGTGATAGTGAGTGTGTTCTCATGAGATCTGATGATTTTATAAGGGCCTTTTCCCTCTTTTGCTTGGCACTTCTCCTTGCTATTTCCATGAGAAATAGGATGTGTTTCCTTCTCCTTCTGCCCCAGTTGTTAGTTTCCTGGGGCCCAGCCATGCTGAACTGTGAGTCAATTAAGCCTCTCTCCTTTATAAGTAACTCAGTCTTAGGTATGTCTTTATTAGCAGTGTGAGAATGGACTAATACACAGTGCTTTCAGAGTAAAATCCAACCTTTAAATGTGATGAAAAATAGCCTCCAGGTTTTGGCCCAAGCTAAGCAACCTTCTACAACTCATCTTTCTCAATCCCAACTATTGTCTTCTCTTCCCTTTGCCATGCATAAAACCTTTATCTTTTAATCGTTATGAACTTTTTTGTAGTTCCTTAAGTAATCAATACTTTAGTCTCCTTTGGATTTTTGTGGATGTCATTCTTTTTACTGGAAACTTTTTCAGATTCCTTACTTCCACACTGCAGAGTCGGTATCACTGCCTCATCATTAAGGTCTTAATTTACACATAATTTATTCTGTTCCCCCAAATAAACTGGTTGGTGAGTTTATCAGCTCTCAAAGTTCTTTACCTTCCTCTCCTTGAGCCCTCCCCTCTTCAGCCATAACACTTTTCTGATTCTTCTCTCTAAATGTTATACTCAGACCTCTTCTCTATCATTCTTTCACACTGTTTTCCTCTTTGGAAATTCCTAGCTTATTATTATACTATTCAACTCCTAAAATCTCTAATTCATACCACCTCCAAGAAGATTTTTCAGGTTACTCTTCTCCTCTTTGATAAATTTTATACTCAGAGTACATCATATATATTATCTGTTTAACTTAGTCAACATTTACCATACACTTCTGCGAAATGTCACTGATGTCATTGTCAGATATCATTATTCAGTTCTGGTAATAACAGTTCTGTTATAAAAAGAAGTACTTTGAGGGCAAAATATATATATATATATATACACACACACACACACATATATATACACACATGTATATATACATACATATGTATACATATACACATATGTATATATATATATAAGTATATATATGAGATATTTATTGTTGAATGAATATGAGTGACAAATGGGAAGGAAATATTTTAATTACCAGCAGAGAGAACAAATCATGACAAATTATTTTTTAAAACATTATAAGAAATTTCAAAAGAATTATGAATCTTTAATAAATGTGGTTTAGTGACACCAGTTTGGGGACTTGCCATGAATTATTTTTTAATATAATTTTAACTTTTATTTTAGATTTATGGGATACATGTGCAGGTTTGTTACATGAGTATATTGCGTGATGCTGAGGTTTGGGTATGATTGAACCCATCACACAGGAAGTGAGCATAATACCTAACAGTTTTTCAAACCTAGATGCCCTCCCTTTTTCCCTCCTTTAGTAGTCCCCAGTGTCTATTGCTCCCATCTTTATGTTCATAAGTACCCATTGTTTAGCTCTCACTTATAAGCGAGGACATGTGATATTTGGTTTTCTGTCCCTCTGTTAATTTGCTTAGGATAATGACCTCCAGCTGCATCCATGTTTCAGCAAATGATATGATTTGTTTTCTTTTCTGGCTGCATAGTATTTCATAGTGTACACGTACCACATTTTATTTATCTAATTCACTATCGTTAGGCACCTAGGTTGATTCCACGTCTTTGTTATTGTAAATAGTCCTGCGTTGAACACATAAGTGCATGTATCTTTTTGGAAGAACAATTTATTTCCTTCTGGATATATACATAATAGTGTGATTAATGGGTCAAATGTTAGTTCTGCATTAAGTTCTTTTAGAAATCACCAAAATGCTTTTTATGATGGCTGAATTAATTTACACTTTCAACAACAGTGTGTAAGTGTTCCCTATTCTCTGCAGCCTCATCAGCAACTATTTTTTGACTTATTTTATATATATATATATTTATATTTTTTCACACCAGCCATTCTGACTGGTGTGAAATAATATCTCTCTGTAATTTTAATTTGCATGTCCCTGATGATAATGATGTGGAGCATTTGTCATACATTTGTTGGCTGCTTGTATGTCTTCTTTTGAAAAGTGTCTGTTTATGTCCTTTGCCCATTTTTTTAATGGGGTTGTTTTTCATTCGTTGGATTAAATTACTTATAGATTCTGGATGTTAGACTTTTATCAGATGCATAGTCTCCAAATATTTTCTTCCATTATATAGGCTATTTCCTCTATTGATAGTTCTTGTGGCTGTGCAGAAGCTCTTTGGTTTAAATAAGTCTCACTTGTCAATTTTCTTTTTTGTTGCCGTTGCTTCTGAGGACTTAGTCATAAATTCTTTCCAAGACTAGTGTCTAGAACGTTGGTCTCCTGGATTTTCTTCTAGGATTCTTACATTTAGAATTCTTACATTTAAATATTTAATCCATCTTGAGTTACTTTTTGTATATAGTGAAAGGTAGGGGTCCAGTTGCATTCTTCTGCATATGGCTAGCCAGTTATCCCAGCATCATTTAGTCCTTTCCCCATTGCTTGGTTTTATCAACTTTGTTGGCTATAGGCATGTGGCTTTATTTCTCAGTTCTCTATTCTGTTGCATTTTTCTATGTGTCTGTTTTTGTACCAGTACCATGATGTTTTGTTTACTGTAGCCTTGTAGTATAGTTTGAAATCAAGTAATGTGACACTTCCAGCTTTTTTCTTTTTGCTTAAAATTGCTTTGACTACACTTTGGGAGGCTGAGATGGGTAGATCACGAGATCAGGAGATTGAGACCCTCCTGGTCAACATGATGAAACCCTGTTTCTACTAAAAATACAAACATTAGCTGGGTATGGTGGTGCATGCCAGTAATCCCAGCTACTCAGGAGGCTGAGGCAGGAGAATTGCTTGAACCAGGGAGTTGGAGGTTGCAGTGAGCTGAGATCACACTACTGCACTCCAGACTGATGACAGAGTGAGACTCCATCTCAAAAAAGAAAAAAACAAATGCTTTGATCAGTCAGCCTCTTTTTGATTATATGTGAATTTTAAAATAATTATTTCTAATTCTGTGAAAAATGACATTGGTAGTTTGATAGGAATAGCACTGAATGTGTAGATTGCATTTCCATTTGTTTGTGTCATCTATGATTTCTTTCAGCAGTGTTCTGTAGTTCTACAAATTCTATGATTTTAGTAATAGTAGTACATAGTATTATGTAGTAATTCTATGATTTTTGTACATTGATTTTGTATCCTGAAACTGACATTTATCAGTTCCAGGAGCCTTTGGGCATAGTCTTTAAGATTTTCTAGGTATGGAATCATATCACCAGCAAAGAGGGATAGTTTGATTTTGTCTTTCCCTATTTAGATGCCTTTTACTTCTTTCACTTGTCTAATTGCTCTGGCTAGGATTTCCTGCTATGATTTATTGACGAAAATAAAATTGACGGGAATCTTATTAGGGAAAATTATCATACAAAACAAGTCAGTGCCCTGTGCTTGTCTCTATATTCCCTCAGTTTGCACATAGCTTTGGTTAGTTTAGACTCCTTATATCCAAAATTAAATGAATTAACATAATAAAACATCTGCTGATAAATTATCCGATTTGCCAGTGTTTTACCATTGAACACGGTATTGTGGTAATTGCCACCTGTTTTTGTATTTTTCATTCAGTAAAATACTGTTGAAACTTTCAATCTTCATATTTGTGAAGACGGTAAATAGTACAGTGCTGTATTAAACAAACCAAATAGAATAATTTAAAAAGCAGTTAATTAGCATCATCTTGACAGGATAGAACATAGTAAATTCAGACATTGGAATTACATGTGTTAAAATCAATTCTTTTGGGTTAACACTTAAAACTATTTTAAGAAGTAATGAAAGAGGCCGGGCGCGGTGGCTCACGTCTGTATTCCCAGCACTTTGGGAGGCCGAGGCGGGCGGATCACGAGGTTGGATGATCGAGACCATCCTGGCTAACACGGTGAAACCCCGTCTCTACTAAAAATACAAAAAAAATATTAGCCGGGCGTGGTGGCAGTCGCCTATAGTCCCAGCTACTCTGGAGGCTGAGGCAGGAGAACGACGTGAACCTGGGAAGTGGAGCTTGCAGTGAGCCGAGATGGCGCCACTGCACTCCAGCCTGGGCGACAGTGCGAGACTCTGTCTCAAAAAACAAAAAACAAAAACCAAAAACAAAACAAAAAAAACAAAAAACAAAAAAAGAAATAATGAAAGAACAAGTTAAGATTTGAGAGAGAAATCACAAAAGTCTGTTGTCACTCATAATATGCCAGCCTGAGGTTGTATTTCCAATGTTTCTTAAAACAAAAAGAAAACACAAGCAGCAAGAAACAGAAAACGGAAACTAAACCATAAAATGGGAAATAGCTCAACACGTTTTGGTTTCTTTGATTTTTGATGTTTTGTTTTGTCTTTACTGCATAAAAAGTAGTTGCATGCCTGAATTGTTCATACTGCTGCCAATTTTGTTGATACTATGCATCGTAGTTTTTCAAATCCTCACAATCAGCTTACTGGAGCCTTATCTAAGTGTAGTGGCAGACATAAATAGTTGTCCACCAAATATTCATACTTAATTCCACACATAATATGCAGCTGGGATTGGGCTGTGCCTGGCTAGCTAGGAGTTACATTTCCCATCCTTCCCTGCATCTAGATGGGACTAGTTCTTGCCTAAGGAATGTGAGCTACTGCTATGTGTTTCACTTGAACAAAATGTTAGTTAATAAAATGAAACAGGCCCTCTCTATACCCTTGTTCATACCCCATCTGATTGCCAGATACAAAAGATCCTAAGTTCCTAGAAAGAGCGAACCTGTAAGATGGAAGAACTCTAGGCTCCTGAATTACCAAATGGAGACTGGCCAGGAGCATCTGCACAGAAGTTATGTGAGCAGGAAATATACTTGTATGTATAAATTACTCAAATGTGGCAGCATATTTCTTAAAGCAACTAGAACTACCTTGTGGTTATTAACACTAGTTTGAAGATTTTGAGTGTCCCCTGATAGCCAGAGTTAAATTATTTTTCTTTGTCAATAAGAAAGTATGATTACATACCAGAAAGATGTTGTACTAACCACCACAGTTCTAGAGTTAGCATTATTTTAAATCATTTTTTCAATCATCAGTCTAAGCTAAAATGTTTTGGCCTTGCATATATTACCAACAGTTTATTGCCAACGTGCGGAGAATAGAACAGACTCAGGGGATGAGGAGTACCAGCCAATGACATTGCTTAATTGCAAGATCCAGTTGTACCTAATGATAACTACAAATTCTTACATTCTCTTCCTCCTCCTCTCTGTTTCCCTGTTATTCTTCCTTTTCTTCTTCCTCTTATTTCCTAAGCTGGATTGACTAGAGCAAACTAACTTAAAGTATGCCAGGATATATGAAGACCTATAAATCAGGTAAAGGAGTTTAGCTTGGTTACAATTAGGCATGGAAAGCAAAACTCATTGCCACTTTAAAAAGAGGAATATTTAAATATACAATTAGGCCACTCAAGGAAATACCTATTACATATGAAGTCATCTTAGTAAAATGTCCCAGCAAAAGTTTTAGAATTAGCAGAATGAACTTTTTATAAAAGTTGTTGAAGCATAGCAGTGCTTCACAGCAATACTTAGACTTATTAATAGTTATGTAACACTGTATGCATGCTTTAATTAAAAGCTGAGTAAAATATAAGTGCTGAGGCATTTGTTTCATAAAATATAAATGAGTTACAGTCAAACGCTTCTTTCATTCTTTTCCATTTTTTTAATGACCTACATATTATAAACCAAAAATATATTCCTTTTAGAACCTAAGCCTAATGGACAAAGTTTGACCAATTTATGTGGCATTTTACAGCTAACTTTTAATTATGACTCAAACAGCAGTCATGAAAGATTGAAGACTAATGTATACAGCCTTAAGCCATACCATAATAGGTTCTTACAGAAAAAGCCAAACTTTGCTCAAAGAATCATGATGAATAACATTTCACCCAAATTCAAACAGAAGAAATCAAAAGGAAAACACTAATACCTTGAATGTGGCTGATGCCAAACCTTCTGTCGTGGTAAATCACGGCAGAAATCTGAGTAGTATGGGCACAGATTTTCCTAGCTAACTGAGTCTCGTCCTCCTGCTTCATAGGAAGCACTGATTTACTGAATTTTCAAGATGGTTTATTCAAAACCTTTTTCAGATATAATTATCATCAAAGTCAGTACTTTAGGTATAAAATCTATTGTATACAAACAATATTCGCATGAGGGATTACAGACTGCTACATTTGGAATATTTACCTTACTGGTAAATTTCACTGGAACCACCTCAGCATCCAAATGTGATTTGAAGAACACCTTATTAAAGGCTCAGTCTTTAAGGAATCTTCCTCACCTCCATCCTTCAGCCTTGACAATGACTTTTCTCTATACTTATTTCCTAATTTTGACTTTGGTTCTAGTTTGTCTGTGTTCATATTCTTGAACTTTAGCTAGTAGAATAATCTTTGTAAGTCCAGGTACCCTCATGAGGTAGCCATTGGTTGTGCCATAGTCCACACTGAACACCTTTCCTCATCCCTGGCTTATGGAACGTTAATCCAGGCTCACAGTTTTCAAGGAGGAACATTTGAGCAATTCCAGATGACTCTTAGATACAGAAACCAAACCAAAACTGGATTAGGTAACAAAGAAGAATCAGTGGCTTGCATATTTTAACAACGCAAAGGAAGGTAGCATGGTTTTCCAGCAATGCCAGATACATGATCTCAGATAGCACTACCAGAACTCATTTACTTTATGTTTTATGACTTTCCTCCATTTTGGATGTACTTGGTCAATCTATTCCCACATGGAACACTCCAATACAGTAAGGCTTATACGCAATCCTCTGAGCAGTCAGTCAGCATGAAAGAGTTTTAGAAGTAAAAAATAATAGTTAATAGTTCCAGAAAAATGCAAGGATTGAGTTTCACTGTACTGGCTGACTTGAGCCATGTTCTCATCACACTGTGGCTAGAAGAGAGAACCTGCTGATTGGCCAGCACTGGCTCACATACTCATAATCAGAGCCAGAGTATTGATAATGAGAAATAAGTGGTTCCAAAAATTAAGGTCAGTGTGCTTTTATCAAAAGAAGGAAAAATGGATGAGGAGCAGGCAAGCAAATCAAAACAAAACTAATCAAATGTCCTTTATGTATCCACTGTAATAGTATAAGGGCACACCTAACTCTTCCTGTAATCAAAGAATTATTTCTTCTCAAAATGCTATATACGATCCCATCTAGAAATTGCAGCAACTGCAATGATTACAAATGGTAATAATTTGTGGAGCTCTATGTCACATGCAACCTTTTCCTACCTGCAGTCTCTATGAACCTGGGATGATTAATCAAGATCTAAGTGTGTCTCTAAACAGAAAATGATGATTGTATAGCTAATCCCATGAGAAGCATTTCTAGTTTAAATAGCCCAAGTAATCACAGTGTCACTTTCCCAAAATCAAAGAGCCTATCCATCAATAGTGAGCTGAAGCCAAACTCTTCCTGGGAGACTAAATGCAGGAAAGGAATTGATTTTGTTGGGTTTCCCATTAACATTAATTACTACTCTTTGATGTGACTCAGATGCTTCTTGACAAGGATATGATCTACTTGTGGGAAGAAACCATTCATATTCAACTGTAATTAAGCTTGTTTTTCTCTGAGCTGTATATACAGTGGTTACAAAAGTCCAGTCACATTACTTGAAAATGTGTCACCTGACTCATAGGGACAGATATTGATATGGAATAATACTTTATATTATTTATTTTTTATTGAGAAGACATTTGATAAACTTAATGCGTAATTTGAGAACACTGATTGGCTTTTATGGAATAAAGTTAGGACACTATCAAATGAGTGTCTTGGACCACTGTGAAAGGATATGAAACAAACTAATGGGTACATAATATATAGTTTCAAAAGATCAGGGACCTTTGCTTTTTATCTATACTTATTATAATAACAATGCCTGGTAAATAATAGGTACTCAAAAATATTGGTGAACAAATAGATTACAGGTTAAAATAAAAGTAAAATTATGAAGCAGTTCCAATTCTAAAACATATTGAATCTTGAGAAAAATTAACTGAAACTCAATTCCATCTACAATGAGGAAAAAAAAGTAAATTAAATAGGTCATATAGCTAGAAGATCAATGAATTGAATCTGGCTATGTTTGATTCCAGAGTCCACTCTATAGTTTTAATTCATTTTTTGTTTGTTTTTATGTTTGAGGAGCATGAATTCTGCAGATAAACTGCAAGTTTAAAATGTAGGATCCTCAATTCACTACCAGTGTGACTTTGAGAAGGGAGTTGCTTAAATTCCTTGTTTAAATTTCAACATCTGGTAACTGGAAATAGTATGATGATTAAATACACTATTTTAAAAATGATTATAAGAGTGCTTTACCGGCAGAAAATTCTACATATTTTTGGTTAAGTAAGTTTCAAAAACAACTGTATTTTTCAGAATAGAAAACACAAAACAGCCAGTATTCTAAAAATAGTTAATTTTATCAAACATCACCCATATGTATTTTAGTAGATTTTACTCTAAATTAATGAGAAAGATAGAAATACATAAAATATTTCATGATCCTCAAAGATCACACTGATCTATAACATAGCAGAAGTGTTAGAGGGCCTTAAAACACATGGGCACATCTGGTCATGAATTGCTGCTCCCAGTGATAATTTATTTCAGTTACTTAAGAACTTCTTGGTATAGTTATTTACCTTCTTTGCATAATCTTGATTCAAATATAGTTCTTCACCATATTTCTTTGACATTGATGGTTACCTGATCAATTTTATCTGATTATTTGAGCCTTCTGTTCTAAGGCTTATCCTCATCTTACCTTCTGTACTTCACCCACAGGCCAGCCTTACCCTGATATTAAAACCAGACAGGGACACAAGAAAAAGAGAAAGACAAGAAAAAGAGGAAGCCAATATCCCTAATGAAAACAGATGCAAAAATATTTAACAAAATATTAAAAAACTGAGACAGGTGTGGTGGCTCATGCCTGTAATCCCAGCACTTTGGGAGGCCAAGGCGGGTGGATCATCTAAGGTCAGGAGTTTGAGACCAGCCAGGCCAACATGGCAAAACCTCATCTCCACCAAAAATACAAAAAATAACCAGGAATGTTGGCGCATGCCTGCAGTTACAGCTACTTGGGAGCCTGGGACAGAAGAATTGCTTGAACTGGGAGGCGGAGGTTGCAGTGAGCTGAGATCGTGCCAACTGCACTTCAGCCTGGATTACAGAGCGAGATTCTGTCTCAAAAAAAAAAAAAAAGTAATAACAAAATGAATTCAACAACCCATTAAAAAGATTCACCATGAGGAACTGAAATTCATTGCAAGGAGGCGTCAACATATGCAAATCAATAAATGTGACAAATCAGATCAACGGAATCAAGAATTAAAACCATAATATCCTTTCAATAGATGCTTAAAAAGCATTCAATAGGGCCAGGTATGTTGGCTCATGCTTGTAATCCCAGCACTTTGGGAGGCCAAGGTGGGCGGATGACCTGAGGTCGGGAGTTCAAGACCAGCCTGACCAACATGGAGAACCCTATCTCTACTAAAAATAAATAAATAAATAAATAAATAAATACAAAATTAGCCAGGCATGGCCGAACATGTCTGTAATCCCAGCTACTCGGGAGGCTGAGGCAGGAGAATCGATTGAACCTGGGAGGGGGAGTTTGCGGTGAGCCGAGATGGCGCCATTGCACTCCAGCCTGGGCAACAAGAGCGAAAATCCATGTCAAAAAAATTGAAAGCTTTTCAACTAAGATTTGAAACTTTCACCACTTCTATTCAAAATAGTACTGGAAATCCTAGCCAGAGCAATCTGGCAAGATAAATAAATAAAAGCCATACGAATTCAAATTAAAGAAGTCAAATTATCGTTGCTTGCAAACAACATGCTCCTATAGTTAGAAAAACCTAAATACTCCACCAAAATACTCAGAATTAATAAATTAATTTAATAAAGTTGCAGGATACAAAATCAACATACAAACTCAGTATCATTCACATGTTAACAGTGATCAATCTGCAAAAGAAATTAAGAAAGCAATCCCATTTACAACACCTACAAAAAACAAAAAACAAACAAACAGAAAACTTTGGAATAAATTTAACCAAAATGTGAAAGATCTCTGCAAGGAAAGCTATAAAACACTGAGGAAAGAAATTGAAGAGCATACACAAAAAATAAAAAGATATCCCATGCTCATGGATTAAAAGAATTAACTTGTTAAAATTTCTATACTACTCAAACAGATCTACAGATTCAGTGTAATCCCCATCAAAATTTCAATGATTTTCTTCACAGAAAAAAAACCCTAATATTTGTACAGAGACACAAAAGTCCTTTAATAGTTAATCTCAAACAAAAAGAATATAGCTGGAGGGATCATACTACTTGATTTCAAATTTTACTACAAAGCTATAGTATTCAAATCAGACTGGTATTTGCATAAAAATAGACATATTGACCAATGGAACAGAATAGAGAATCAAGAAATAAATCCATCCACTTAGAGTCAACTTATCTTTGACAAGCCACCAAGGAACAGCATGTTTAATAAATGGTGCTGGGAAGACTGGATATCCACATGAAGAAGAATGAAACTATATCCCCATCTTTCACCACGTGCAAAAAACCAACCCAAAATGGATTAAAGACTTAAATATAAGACATGAAAGATAAATATAAGACATAAAAGAAAACATTGGGGAAACGTTTTAGGACATTGATCTGAGCAAAGATGATTTGGGTAAGACCTCAAAAGCACAGGCAACAAAAACAAAAATAGACAAATGTGATTACATTAAGTTAAAAAGCTTCTGCTTTTTAAGGAAACAATGAAGTGAAGAGCAACCTAAAGAATGTGCAAACTATTTGCAAACTGTTCATCTAACAACAATATATTAGGAAAATATAAGAAGTTCAAATAACTCAACAGAAAACAAACAAATAATCCAATTAAAAATTGGGACAAGGGCTGGGCAAGGTGGCTCACTCCTGTAATCCCAGCACTTTGGGAGGCTGAGGCAGCTGGATCACAAGGTCAGGAGTTCAAGACCAGCCTGGCCAAAATGGTGAAATCCCATCTCTACTAAAAATACAAAAAATTACCTGGGCGTGGTGGCAGGTGCCTGTAAGGCAGCTACTCGGGAGGCTGAGGCAGAGAATTGCTTGAACCTGGGAGGTAGAGGTTGCAGTGAGCAGAGATCATGCCACTGCACTCCAGCCTGGACAACAGAGCGAGACTCCTTAAAAAAAAAAAAAAAGGCACAAGAATTGAATAGACATTTATCAAATGAAGACATACAAATGGCTGACCAGTATGTGAAAAAATGCTCAACATCACTAATCATCAGGGAAATACAAATCAAAGCCACAATGAAATATTATCTCACTTCAGTAGAATGGCTATTATCAAAAAGATGAAAAAACAACAAATGCTATTGAGGATGCAGAGAAAGGAGAACGCTCATATGTAAATTAGTATAGCCAGTATGAGAAACAGCATGGAGGTTCTTCAAAAACTACAACTAGAACTACCGTATAATTTGGATATTTGTCCCCTCAAAATCTCATGTTGAAATTGATCCCTGAATTTTGGAGGTAGGGCCTAATGTAAGGTGTTTGGGTCACAGGTGTGGATTACTCATGAAGGGCTTATATCATCGTAGTGGTAATAAGTGAGTTCCATTAGTTCACACAAGAGCTGGTTGTTTAAAGGAATGTGGTACCCTTCTCTCTCGCTCTCTTGCTCCCTCTCTTGCCATGTGACATGACTGCTCCTCTTCTACCTTCTTCCATGAGTAAAAGCTTTCTGAAGCCTCACCAGAAGTTGGGCAGATGTGGATGTCATGCCTGTACAGCCTGCAAAACCGTGAGGCAAATAAACCTCTTTTCTTTATAAATTACCCAGTCTCAGGTATTCCTTGTAGCGATGTAAAACAGACTAAGATACATATGATACAACAATCCCATTGCTGGGTATTTACACAAAATAAAGGAAATCAGTGCTGTGAAAAGATATCTACACTTCCATGTTTATTGCAGCACTATTCACAATAACCAAGATATGGAGCCAAAACACATGTCCATCAGCAGATGAATGGATAAAGAAAATGTGGTACATAAATGCAGTGGAATATTTTTTGCCCATATAAAATAATTAAATCCTGTTATTTGCATAAACATGGATGAAACTGAAGGTCACTATGTTAAGAGAAATAAGCCAGGCACAGTAAGATAAATATGGCATGTTCTCACTCATGTGGAAGGTAAAAAAGTGGATCTCATGGAGGTAGAGAGTAAAATGGTGTTTACCAGAGGCCTGGAAGGGAAGGGGGTTTGAGGGCAGGGAATGAAAAGAAGTTGGTTAAAAGGTACAAACATGTAGTTAGAAGGAATAAGTTCAAGTATCATAGTACATTAGGGAAATTATAGTTAACAATAATGTATTGTATATTTCAAATTACAATAGAAGAGAAGAATTGCAATGTTCCCAAAACAAAGAAAGATAAACATTTGAGGTGAAGGATATCCTAAATACTATTATTTGGTCATTATTATCCATCGTATGCAGGTATCAAAATATCACAAGTGCCCCCAAAATATATACAACCATTATATATCAATAAAATTAAAAAATACTCTACTCACATTTTTCATCTCCTCTGCTTAGTCACTTGCTCCATCTCATCTTTATTATGTCAAATGATTTAGATTTATAGCCTTTATTTGGCATTGGAGTCTCCCTTGTGTTTCTGAAGATTGTTTAAGGTGCTCACCTGGGAAAAAGACAACGTGAATCTTGAATCTCACACTTTATCCCTGCAGGAAATTTGGCATTTCAGTCTTTCTTTAAATATCCCCTCACTAACATCTATAAATAAAAGACATTTAATTTGCCACAGATATAAACTATACCACCTACTCCCCACCTACCCCCTACCCCCCACACACATATCTTACATGGAAGATTTCACTTTAAGTAAACAAGTTCCACTATTTTGGAAATGTATGTTTTTGGAGGGGAAGAAGAAGGAGATATTTCTTCGATAATTCTGTGTTGAGAGATTGAAATAAAGGTTACCTGATGCCAAGCATCCTACCTGCCAGTAGTTCCAGAACTACAAAAAAATCCCAGAACTGTGCTTTCTAATATGGCAGACACGAATCACACATGGCCATTTTAATTAATGAAATTAGAAGAAAATTTAAAGTTCAAGTCTTCAGTCTCACTGCCCAATTCCATTTATTCTTTACCCACGTGTGGCCAGTGACTAACATATTTGTTGCTGCAGCTTATAAAACACTTCCATTACTGCAGAAAGTTCTATTAAACAATCTTCAAAAGGAGACGATTGTTGGAATTTTCAAATAGATATTTTGAAGAGTGCAATCTTGCCCTGTAATTTTTATAAGAACTTGCATATGGAGATCACTCAAAAATTTTCAAAAGACAGACAAGCAGCTAACAAACATGAAAAGTGCTCAACATCACTAACCATAAGAGAAATGCAAATTAAAACCACAATGAAATTCCATCTTACACCAGTCAGAATGGCTATCATTAACAATAATTTTTAATAATACTAATTCTGACTGTATATAAAAGTCAGAAAACAACAGGCTGTTTATAAAACTTATTTTATAAAGAGATCATATATAAAAAGTCAAAAAACAACAGATGTTGTTGAGGCTGCAGAGAAAAGGGAATGCTTATATGCTGTTAGTGGAAATATAAATTCGTACAATCTTTAGGGAAAACAGTACGGAGACTTCTCAAAGCACTAAAAATAGAACTATCATTTAATTCAGCCATCCCACTACTGGGCAATATCCAAAAGAAAGAATTTATTATATCAATACGATACCTGTACTGGTATGTTTATTGCAGCACTATTCAAGATAGGAAAGATATAGAGTCAACCTGTGTCCATCAACAGAGGATTAGATAAAATGCAATATGGATATACCATGGAATACTACTCAGCCATAAAAAAAGAAAGAAATCATGTCCTTTGCAGCAACATGGATGGAACTAGAGGCCATTAGCTTAAGTGAAATATTTCAGAAACAGAGAGTCAAATGCCACATGTGCTCCCTTATAAGTGGGAGCTAAACAGTGAGTACACATGGACACATAGATTAGAATAATGGACATTGGAGTCTGCAAAACATGGGAAGGTGGGAGAGGGGTGAGGGTTAAAAAGTTACTTATTGTATACAATGTTCACGATTCAGGTGATGGGTACAGCAAAAGCCCACACTTCACCACTACACAACATATACATGTAAGAAACCTGCACTTGATAATCTCTTGGGAGCTCTATGGCCCTGCTCACCACCTAAGAAACCCGAATATTTATCCAGGTCACCCTAGGGGAAGCTACACTACCACAGCTGATGCTGTCTTGAAAACACCACCTCCTGGCTGGAGGCCAAACAAAACTAGCACACTAAAAAAAACTACAATGAAGGACCCTCACAGAGTCCACTTCACTCTCCTGTTATCTCCACTAGAGCAGGTGTTGGTATCCACAGCTGAGAGACCTGAAGATGGATCACATCACAGGACTCTTTGCAGATACTCCCTAGTACCAGACTGGAGCCTGGTAGCTCCACTGGGTGGCTAGACCCAGAAAAGAAATGACAATCCCTGTAGTTTGGCTCTCAGGAAGCCACATCCCGAGAGGAAAGGGAGAGCACCACATCAAGGGAGCATCCTGCAAGACAAAGAATATGAACAACAGCTGTTAAGTCCAGATCTTCCTTCTGATATAGTCTACCCAAATGAGAAGGAACCAGAAAAACAATTTGGTAATATGACAAAACAAGGTTCTTTAACACCCCCCAAAAACCACACTAGATCACCAGCAATGGACCCAAACCAAGAAGAAATCTCTGAATTGCCAGAAAAGGAATTCAGAATGTTGATTATTAAGCTATTCAAACAGGCACCACAGAAAGGTGAATACCAATATAAAGAAATAAAAAAAAATGGTACAGGAAGTGGATAGAAAAATCTCCAGAGAAATAGAAAACATAAATAAAAAGTAATCACAACTTCTGAAAATGAAGAACACACTTAGAGAAATGCAAAATACCCTGAAAAGTCTCAGCAATAGAATTGAAAAAGGAGAAGAAAGAACTTCTCTTGAAGTTCTTTGAGCTTGAAGACAAAGCTTTTGAATTAACCCTATCCAACAAAGACAGAGAAAAAAATAATTTAAAAAATGAAAAAAGCCCCCAAGAAGCTTGGGATTATGTTAAATGACCAAACCTAAGAATAATTGGTGTTCCTGAGGAAGAAGAGAAATCTAAAATTTTGGAAAGCATATTCGAGGGAATAATTGAGGAAAACCTCCCTGGCCTTGCTAAAGACCTAGACATCCAAATACAAGAAGCTCAAAGAACACCTGGAAAATTCATCACAAAAAGATAATCACCCAGGTACATTGTCATCAGGTTATCTAAATTTAAGAGGAAGCAAAGAATCTTAAAAGCTATGAGGCAGGCCAGGCATAGTGGCTCATGCCTGTAATCCCAGCACTTTGGGAGGCTGAGGTGGGTGGATCATGAGGTCAGGAGATCGAGACCATCCTGGTTAACACTGGAAACGCTGTCTCTACTGAAAATACAAAAAATTAGCTGGGCGTGGTGGTGGGTGCCTGTAGTCCCAGCTACTCTGGAGGATGAGGCAGGAGAATGGCGTGAACCCAGGAGGTGGAGCTTGCAGTGAGCCGAGAACGCGCCACTGCACTCCAGCCTGAGAGGCAGAACGAGACTACGTCTCAAAAAAAAAAAAAAAAAAAAAAAAAAAAGCTATGAGGCAAATGCATCAGGTAAATATAAAGGGAAACCTAACAGGTAAACAGCAGATTTCTCATCAGAAACCCTACAAGCTAGAAGAGATTGCAGTCCTATCTTTAGCCCTCTTCAACAAAACAATTACCAGCCAAGAATTTCATATCTGGTGAAACTAAGCATCATGAATGAAGAAAATATACAGTCTTTTTCAGGCAAATGCTGAGAGAATTTGCCACCACCAAGCCAGCAATACAAGAACTGCTAAATGGAACTCTATATCTTGAAACAAACCCTTGGAATATACCGAAATAGAACCATCTTAAAACATAAATCTCACAGGGCCTATAAAATAATAACACAATGGGAAAAAAGGGTATTCAGGCAAAACTAGAATGTTGAATAGAATAGTACCTCACTTCTCAATATTAACAATGAATGTAAATGGCCTAAATGCTTCACTTAAAATATACAGAATGGCAAAATGGATAAGAATTCACCAACCAAAAATCTGCTGTCTTCCAGAGATTCACCTAACACATAAGGACTCACATAAGCTTAAGGGAAAGGACTGGAAAAAGATATTCCATGCAAATGGACACCAAAAGTGAGCAGGAGTAGCTATTCTTATATCAGACTAAACAGACTTTAAAGCAACAACACTTAAAAAAGGCAAAGAGGGACATTGTATAATAATAAAAGGGCCAGTCCAACAGGAAACTATCATAATCCTAAATATGTATGCACCTAACACTGGAGTTCCCAAATTTATGAAATAATTATCACCAGACCTGAAAAATGAGATAGACAGCAACACAATAATAATGGGGGACTTCAATACTCCACTGACAGCATTAGACTGCTCATCAAGACAAAAAGTCAACAAAGAAACAATAGACATCAACTATACCCTAGAACAAATGGACTTAATACATTCTATTAATCAGCATATGAAACATTCTCCAATATAGAACATATTATAGGCCACAAAACAAGCCTCAATACATTTGAGAACATCGAAATTATATCAAGTACTCTCTCACACCATAGTGGAATAAAATTGAAAATAGACTCCAAAAGGATGCTCAAAACCATGTAAATACATGGAAATTAAATAACCTGCTCCTACATGATGGTTGGGTCAACAATTAAGTCAAGATGAAAATTTTAAAAATTATTTGAACTGAATTATAGTGACACAAACTATCAAAATGTATGGGACACAGCAAAAGGAGTGCTAAGAGGAAAGTTGATAGCACTGAATGCCTACATAATAAATTCTGAAAGAGCACAAATACACAATCTAAGATCATGCCTCAAGGAGCTAGAGAAACAAGAAAATACCAAATCCAAACCCAACAACAAAAAAAGAAATAGCGAAGATTGAAACAACAACAAAAGATAAATGAAACAGAAAGCTGGTTTTTTGAAAAGATATACAAAATTGATAGACCATTAGTGAGATTAACCAAGAAAAGAAGAGAGAAGATCCAAATAAAAAATGAAACTGTAGATATTACAATTAATCCTACAGGAATATGAAAGATAATTCAAGGCCACTATGAACACCTTATGCACATAAACTAGAAAACCTAGAAGAGATAGATAAATTCCTGGAAGTATAACCATAAATTAAACCAGAAAAAAATAGAAACTCTGAGCAGACCAAAAACAACCAGCCAGATTGAAATAGAAATTAAAAAATATTGCCCACAAAAAAAAATTCCAGGACTAGACGGATTCACAGCTGAATTCCATCAGACTTTCAAAGAAGAATTGGTACCAACCTATTGGAACACTATTCCAAATGTTAGAGAAAGAGGGAATCTTCCCTAAATCATTCTATGAAGCCAGTATCACACTAATACCCAAACATAACAAAAGAAAGGAAAGGAAAGAAAAGGAAAGGACATAACAAAAAAAGAAAATTACAGACCAATATCCCTGATGAACATAGATGTGAAAATCCTCAACAATATATAGCTAATTGATACCAAAAGCATATGAAAAGGATAATTCACCATGATCAAGAGGGTTTCATATCAGGGATGTAGGGATGATTTAGCAAGTCAATAAATGTGATACACCACATAAACAGAATTGAAACAAAAATCACATGATCCTTTTAATAGATGCAGAAAAAGCATTTGACAAAATCCAGTATTCCTTTATGACTAAAACCCTCAGCGAAATCAGCATAGAAGGAACATACCATAAGGTAATAAAACAAACCCATAACCAACATAATACTGAATGGAGAAAAGTTAAAATCATTCCCCTTGAGAAATGGAACAATGCAAGGATGCCCACTTTCACCACTTCTATTCAACATGGTACTGGAAGTCCTAGCAAGAGCAATCAGACACGAGAAAGAAATAAAGGGCATCCAAATTGGTAAACAGGAAGTCAGACTGTCTATGTTCACCAATACATGATCATACCTAGAAAGCCCTAAAGACTCCTCCAAAAAGCTCCTAGAACTAACAAATGAATTCGGTAAAGTTTCAGGATGCAAAATTAATGTACACAAATCAGTAATACTGCTATATACCAACAACAACCAAGCTCAGAATCAAATCACAAACTCAGCCCCTTTTACAATAGCGGAAAAAAAAATAAAAACGTAAAACTTAGGAATATACCTAACCAAGGACTCGAAAGACCTCTACAAGGAAAACTATAAAACACTGCTGAAAGAAATCACAGATGACACACACACACACACAAAAAAAACGGAAACACATCCCATGCTCATGGACGGTAGAATCAATGTTGTGAAAATGACCAGACAGCCAAAAGCAATCTACAGCTTCAATGCAATCCCCATCAAAATATCACCATCATTCTTCACAGAACCAAAAAAAAAATACTAAAATTTATATGGAACCAAAAAACAACCCACATAGCTAAAGCAAGAGTAAGCAAAAATAACAAATCTGGAAACATCACATTACCCAACTTCAAACTATACTACTACCAAAAAAGGGCCCACATAGTTAAAGCTAGACTAAGCAAAAAGAAAAAAAATATCTGGAAGCATCACATTACCTGATTTCAAATTACCCTATAAGGCCATAGTCACCAAAACAGCATGGTACTAATATGAAAATAGGCACATAGACCAATAGAACAGAACAAAGAAACCAGAAATAAAGGCAAATGTAGCCAATTGATATTTGACAAAGCAAACAAAAACATAAAGGGGGGAAAGAACACCCTATTCAACAAATGGTGCTGGGATAATTGGCAAGCCATATGTAGAAGAATGAAACTGGACCCTCATCTCTCACCTCATACAAAAATAAACTGAAAATGGATCAAAGACTTAAATCTAAGACCCGAAATCATAAAAATCATAGAGGATAACATCAGAAAAACCCCTCTAGACATTGGCTTATGCAAAGACTTTATGACCAAGAACCCAAAAGCAAATGCAAAATAAATAAATAAATAAAGATGAATAGATGGGACTTAATTAAACTAAAAAGCTTCTGCACAGCAGTAATCAAAACAGACAACCCATGTAGTGGGAAAGAGTTTTCAAAAATTAAGCAACTGACAAAGCACTAATATCCAAGGACCTACAAGAAACTCAAACAAATCAGCAAGTATAAAACAAACAATCCCTTCAAGTGGGCTAGGGACATGAATAGAAAATTATCAAAGGAAGACATACAAATGGACAACAAACATATGAAGAAAATCTCACCATCCCTATTTATCAGGGAAATGCAAATCAAAACCACAATGTGATACCACATTACTCCTACAAGAATGGCCATAATCAAAAAAATTAAAAAATAATAGATGTTGGCATAAATGTGGGGAAAAGGGAACACTTTTATGCTGCTGATGTGAAAGTAAACTAGTACAACCACTATGAAAAACAGTGTGGAGATTCCCTAAAGAACTAAAAGGAGATCTACCAGTTGATCCAGCAAACCCACTACTGGGCATCTACCCAGAAGCAAAGAAGTTATTATATGAAAAAGTTACTTGCACATGCATGTTTACAGCAGCATAATTCTCAACTGAAAATATATGGAATCAGCCCAAATGCCCATAAATCGTTGAGTGGATAAAGAAAATATGGCATATACATACCATGGAATACTATTAAGCCATGAAAAAGAACAAAATAATGGCATTCACAGCAACCTGGATAGAATTGGGGACCATTATTCTAAGTGAAGTAACTCAGGAATGGAAATCCAAATATCATATATTCTCACTCATACATGGGAGCACTCATACATGGTGCAGGGTGCACCTAAATCTCAGAAATCACCGTTAAAGAACTTATCCGTGTAACAAAACACCACCTGTTCCCCAAAAACCTATTGAAATAAAAAATAAAATTAAAAGAAAAACCTGCACATGTACCTCCTAAACATATAAACTTAAACCCCATTTTTTAAAAAAGTGAATATTTAGAAAACCCCACAGTCTCAGCCCAAAATCTCCTTAAGCTGGTAGCAACTTTAGCAGTCTCAGGATACAAAGTGAATGTGCAAAAATCACAAGCATTCCCATACACCAATAATAGACAAACAGAGAGACAAATCATGAGTGAACTCCCATTCACAATTGCTACGGAGAGAATAAAATACCTAGGAATACAACTTACAAGGAATGTGAAGGACTTCTTCAAGGAGAACTACAAATTACTGGTCAAGGAAATAAAAGAGGACACAAACAAAATAAAAAACATGATCATTCATAGGAAGAACCACTATTGTGAAAATGGCCATACTGCCCAAGGTAATACAATGCTATCCCCATCAAGTTACCATTGACTTTCTTCACACAATTAGAAAAAACTACTTTAAATTTCGTATGGGACCAAAAAAGAGCCTGCATAGCCAAGACAATCCTAAGCAAAAAGAACAAAGCTGGAGACATCATGCTACCTGACTTCAAACTATACTACAAGGCTACCGCAACAAAAACAGCATGGTACTGGCACCAAAACAGATACATAGACCAATGGAACAGAACAGAGGTCTCAGAAATAACATCACACATCTACAACCACCTGATCTGTGACAAACCCGACAAAAACAAGCAATAAGGAAAGGATTCCCTATTTAATAAATGGTGTTGGGAAACTGGCTAGCCATATGCAGAATACAAATCGGACCCCTTCCTTACACCTTATACAAAAATCAACTGAAGATGGATTAAAGACTTAAACGTAAGACCTAAAACAATAAAACTCCTAGAAGAAAACCTAGGCAACACAATTCAGGACATAGGCATGGGCAAAGACTTCATGACTAAAACACCAAAAGCAATGGCAACAAAAGCCAAAATTGATAAATGGGATCTAATTAAACTAAAGAGCTTCTGTGCAGTAAAAGAAACTAAAGAGTGAACAGGCAACCTACAGAATGGGAGAAAATGTTTGCAATCTATCCATTTGACAAAGGGCTAATATCCAGAATCTACGAAGAACTGAAACAAGTTTACAAGAAAAAAAAAACAACCCCATCAAAAAGTGGACAATGGATACGAACAGACACTTCTCAAAAGAAGACGTCTATGCAGCCAACAAACATATGAAAAAAAGCTCCTCATCACTGGCCAATAGAGAAATGCAAATCAAAAGCACGATAAGATACCATCTCATGCCAGTTAGAACGGCAATCATTAAAAAGGATACAACAGATGCTGAAGAGGAAGTGGAGAAATACGAACGCTTTTACATGGTCAATGGGAGTGTAAATTAGTTCAACCATTGTGGAAGACAGTGTGGTGATTCCTCAAGGATCTAGAACCAGAGATACCATTTGACCCAGCGATCCCATTACTGGGTATATATCCAAAGGATTAGAAATCATTCTACTATAAAGACACATGCATACGTATGTTTATTGCTGCACTATTCACAATAGCAAAGACTTGGAACCAACCCAAATGCCAATTAATGATAGACTGGATAAAGAAAATGTGGCACATATATACCATGGAATACTATGTAGCCATAAAAAAGGATAAGTCCATGTCATTTGTAGCAACATGGATGAATCTGAAAACCATCATTCTCAGCAAAGTAACACAAGAACAGAAAACCAAACACTGCATATTCTCACTAATAAGTGGGAGTTGAACGATGAGAATGCATGGACACAGGGAAGGGAACATCACACACTGGGGTCTTTCGGTGCATGGGGCGCTAGGGGAGGGATAGCATTAGGAGAAATACCTAATGTAGATGATGAGTTGATGGGTGCAGCAAACCACCATGGCACGTGTATAGCCATGAAACAAACCTGCATGCTCTGCACATGTACCCCAGAACTTAAAGTATAATAATAATTTAAAAAAGAGAGAATAAAATGGATTTTATCCTAGTTTTTACTCTATCACTATTGCTCAAGGTTTGGCAGAAAAACAGAACAGCTATGCATATATTGAAGAATAATGGGAAATTTGCATTGGAGTATTCTGATAATAAGTACATACATACAGATGATAGAAAAATAGATTTTTTTTCACATTCTACAATAATATGTGTAATTGTACCATTTCTGCAATTTCCATTTTCTAGTATTTTTCAAACTGCAGATTGTGACCTATTAGTGGGTCACGAAATCAATAGTTAGTAATTATTATTTTTACAAAGTTGGCCAGGAGTAGTGGCGCATGCCTGTAGTCCTAGCACTTTGGGAGGCTGAGGGTGGGAGGATTGTTTGAGTCCAGGAGTTCAGAGTTACAGTGAGCTGTGATAACACCACTGCACTACAGCCTGGCCTGGGCCTGGGCAACAGAGCGGGACTCAGTCTTTTAAAAATAAAATAAAATCACATCAAAGAAAGATAAGAAGAGTGCATCACACACGGATAGATAGAACATTGGTTCATTAAACTTCTGTCTTAGTTTTACAACATTGAGTCATAATATAAAATGACTGCTTACTGTGGGTCATATTTAAAGTTATTTAAAAGAAATGATAGAACTATCTAACATAATTGGTGTCTCTACAAGTGTTAATTTAACATTTTATTTCTCAGCTTTCAGAGAGAATGCAGTGTGTCTGTTTCCAAGGAATTAGAGTTTTAGAGCTATTTTTTGTAACTATTTTAGGCCTATACAAGTTATTTATGCAAACGAATGGGGAAAACTACACATCTTGCAGCTTTGTAGTCTTTGCAATGAATAAATTATTAAATTCATCAGCAATTTGAATATTACTGGATTTCTGTGACATTTAAGCACCCTAAGCCTTTCTCTATTATTTCTCTTTCTGCATCTTTAAAATTTTTCTTTCTCTCTTTCTCTGTCTCTATTTCTTTGTCTCTCTCTCTCAGCTCTGTGGTCATCCAGGCAAGTAATGGGGCCTTGCCTCTCAACCCAACAACAATAGTCTCTGATATTGTGGAATCTCACCTCCCACCCCAAATTCCAAATTCATGTTGAAGCCCTAACCTCTGTATCTTAGAATATGACTGTATTCAGAGATAGTCTTTAACAAGGTAATTAAGTTAAAATGGCATCACTAAGTTGGTTCTAATCTAATACGACTAGTATTCTTATAATAAGGGAAAATCATGACGCAGACACATAAACAGAAAAGACCATGTGAGGACACAGGGAGAGAACAGTCATCTAGAAGTGAAAAAGAGGTCGCAGAAGAAACCAACCCAGCTGACACCTTTATCGCAGGTTCCTAGCCTCTAGAATTGTGAGAAAATCAATTTCTGTTGTTAAAGTCATCCATTCTGAGGTACTTTATTATGGAAGCACAAAGAAAACTAATACAGTCTCCTTATTACTCACATCTTATTTTTTTTTCTCCTGTCTTAAGGGAATGTATAAGCACATGTTTTCACTAAAGTTCTTTAGTTTCAAGCAACCAAACTTGTTCTGCTCAAGTAAATAAACAATTTTCTAGGCCAGGTGCAGTGGTTCATGCCTGTAATCCCAGCACTTTGGGAGGCCGAGGCAGGTGAATCACTTGAGGTCAGAAGTTCGAGACCAGCCTAGCCAACATGTTGAAACTATCTCTACTAAAAGTACAATAATTAGCCAGGCGTGGTGGCAGGCACCTGTAATTCCAGCTACTCGGGAGACTGAAGCAAGAGAATCGCTTGAACCCTGATGGTGGAGGTTGCAATGAGCCACAGCACTCCAGTCTGGGCAACAGAGTGAGATTCTGTCTCAAAAAAAAAAATAAAAATAAATAAATAAATAAATAAACAAACAATTTTCTGGAGGATATGAAATAACTCCACACATCAAAGAAAACGTTACAGAACCAGGCATCAAACAGGACAGGAACCAATGAAGCTATTTGGATGTGGGAAGCCAAGATTAAAGGAGACTCATAACTATTTTCAGCTTTTGTGTGCATTCTAGGGAAAGGATATTATTTGTCCTGGTTTACATGAAGTATCTATCCTCTGAGAGAAGTACAAGGAATTTGATTGACAGTTCCACCTAGATTCTATCTAATAAGAAATGTATGGTCCCCCAAATAAAATCAGAGTTGTACTAGAAGAAAAGAAAATGGAAGATAGGGCAAAATAGCAGATTTGTGCTACACTTTGGGTTTAAATACTTTACACTGACCATTAACAACCTTAGGTCACATCATGTTGCTTATATCAAAATATATTACTTATAATAAAAACTATATATATATATATATATGTGTGTGTCAAATGGATTCAAAATCACTTTTGGTTATCATGGCTTCAAGTCTTCTATGAGCCAAACTAAACTTTTTTGGAATAAGTACAATAAAAAGTAAATATTTCATAAAAATATTTCAACACAGCCAATTCATCCTAGATATCTTAAGGTATTTAAAAAACTTTAAACAGCCATTTTCATTACTTTACATTATTCTTAAGAATAAAATAAGACCAAAATATTTGAAGATTATCATCTGTGAAAAGAAAATATAACAAGACTTATAGTTTTATTTTTCAAATTTTCTATTGGAAATTATTATGGTGACTGTATCATCTATTTTAATGAATTCAACTACTTCCCATGGCCCAGAAAAAAGCATAATATACATATTTTCCCAAAGGCAGTCTAAGTTGAAGTAGTCTTCCTATCAACATCTGTTATTTGGTTTATTTTCTGCCTTGACCTAACAAGCAGTCATGAGACCGTTAACTGATTTGCAATGCAGTTACTGTCTGCCATTTTGAAATGACTGGAGTACCAATGCTTAGCTGCCATCCAGTGGAGCCTGATTTTTCTAATTCAATTAACTGGAAAGTGGTACATTAAAACATATGAAGGTAAAATAATCTAAGTGATACCAAGATAAAATATCTATTTTTTCCAAGGAGCTTATAATTCAACAAGAAGACAGGCATATTAATGAAATATGACAATATTACATGAGAAACTATCCAATGGGTTCTAGATGTTCATTTTTTTATGGGAACATAAAAGAAAGGGAACAAAGTCCTTTGAGGCAAAGTTGAGAACTTTAAAAAAAAATTGGACTAAGGCTTAGTCAGCACAGTATGAATTCAAAATAATTTTGTATATATAATTAAAGTTCAAAGTGATTATTTACATTGAGTTTTTAAAATGTCTTATTGCTCAAAAAATGTTTGATTAATTAGATTTTCATTTTATATAGGACATTAAAAACATACTAAACAACTGAAATGGTAAGTGCTGTGTGTAACATTAGACTTAGGGTTTTAGCAAATTAAAACACAGGACATCCAGTTAAATTTGTCTTTTAGATAAGTTACGAATAATAGATTTAGTGTAACTATGTCCCACATAATACTTGGAACATACTAATACTAAAAGGTATTATTAATTTTTTTATTTGAAATGCAATTTTCACTGAATTCTCTAGCATATCTAGAATTCTATGCAGAATAAAAAAAAATAGAGAGTAGCCTTGGGATGTGAAGAGAAAATAAAAGCTGTAAGGAAATAATAACCAGTGTGTGTGTGCCAGGGGTGGTGTGCAGGAATTACCAGAGAGAAGTTTTTCATGAGAGTAATATTATTTAGTATCTAAAGATGTTTTAAAGAAGGTTTGTTAATATCTACAAGTAAAATGGGGTATTTTATGCCACACATTATATAAATGCTCTTTTTATGACAAACTTCAGGGAGAGTGACATTCTGTGTACAGATTTACAAAACCAACCCAACTGTGGCTTGTCATTTACAAAAATCCTAACTGATTTTATTCCAAATTCTTCTGTGATTCTGTTGATTGCTTAGTCTTAGAAATACTGGAGTGTTTTATGTAGACTAGAATTTCTGGTTAGACTAATTCAAGAGTAATTATGACCTTGAGAATCGTATCTCTAACTTGCACTAGGACTTGAGATTGATGATCAAGTCTTAAAAGTTTTCCTGGTAGGATTAGGAAAGCTTATGGGCTTGTCATTCTGTCAGAACAAACATGGTCTTGTGCATTATATCTGAATTTAAACCAGTTTTACACTGATGTCTTTAGTAATAAGGTAAATGAAAAAACTAATAATAACTTTTCTATGATACTTTATTTAACTTAGTGTCATTGCTTTGGATATACACCATAAATTATAACTTAACAATAAAACGACTTCAGATTAACTCAAAACTAAATTGTGTGTGAATTATGTGAGTAAAAAGGGCTGCAGGCAAATTTTTGCCTTTGTTTTGCCCAGTCTTCAACTGGGAACTCTTTAAAATAGGAAAGACTGAAAACCCTGTTTCCATGCACCAAGATATCTGCTCAATATCTGCTCAGGGAGGCCTGTAATTGTATGTTCTTTTTATGTGAAGTATTTTACGTCTACTCTCTTAGGCTTAAACCTCATTAATAGCATGAATAATTTAAAGGTAACTTTTAATTTACTTTGAGAAATGCTGCATAAATTGACACCATGCAAATCGTGGAAGAAAACGTTCTCCTAAACCTAAAGTTTCTTATATACTATTTTTAATCAATGCAACAGTCACTATAAATGACACACCTCCAAATTCGTTTCTGAAAAGCTTGTTGGGAAACAGTTTTATCACAATCATAATTTAAAGCAGTACCTATTTTATTTTCTACCACGACTTTTTGGAAGAGAAAGTGGAAGTAGGCAAAAGAAAATTATATCACCAAACAACTTACATAGTATCATGGTGTTTCTTTTTACTAGAAAGGAACTCAAAAATCATTTTTCTATTCATTCATTCAAAAATATATACTGAGTACGCTCTTAGTCAGTTCAGGGTGCTGTAAGAAAATACCACAGACTGGGTGGCCTAAACAACAGACATTTATTTCCCACAGTTCTAGAGGCTGTGAAGTTTTGGATCAAGGTGTTGACAAATTTCATTTTTGGTGAGGGGCCTCTTCCTGCCTTATAGATGGTCTACCATTTTGCTGATTGCTTAAAGGAGTTATTGCTGATTGTTTGTAAAACAAGCTCTCTGGTCTCTCTAAGTCCCATGCTAAGAATCTCACCTTCACGACCTCATCTAAACCCAACTACCTTCCAAAGGTCCCACCCCTCGTCACTTGGGAGGGCCTAGAAGCAAGAGTGCTCCAGTAGGAAAGAGCATGCCTAACATCCATATCTTGGTTTAAAATGCTGGTATTCAATGGAAGGAACCAGAGCTCCATACAGAAATGGTTGATTCTAAGACTAAGACAGAAAATATAAAAGATGAGGCTGAAACATCTTGTAGTGCCAGAAAGTAAGGAAATACCTAAAAAAAAATTATGGGAGTATATCAAAAGACATAGGAGCCAATAAAATAAATATGGTAATGGATTATAACCCAAAGTATAATAAATATCTGTGAGTCTATACAAATATAAATAAATAATTGAATAAATAATGAAAGTATAGATAAATTTTCTGTGTAGAAAAATCCCAAATGATTTTTGTAGATACTATGTTCTGAAGGAGGTGGAACATCTCTCCACTCCCTAAATTTGGGCTATGCATAGCAACTTCCTTCCAAAGACAACAAAACAGAAATGAGAAAAAAAAGAGTAATTTTGCAGTGGAGAAACTTGACAGACACTGCTTCACCCAGCTGATCAAGACCAGCATCAGCAGTAATAAGCCATGTTAACAGTATACACCGTTTATGTGATGTGATAAGAATAGCACATTACCTGTGCTCTCCCCCCTCCAAATCCACAACTCTCCTCCAATCCTGTGAAAAATATTAGACAAATATCATTCAGGAAACATTCTACAAAATATTTTACCAGTATTACTCAAAATTGTCAAAATTATCAAAAACAAGGAAAGTTTGAGAAACTTCATGGCCAAGAGGAACTTAAGGAAACACAAGGACTAAATGTAATTTGATATCTTGGCTGGGTCCAAGAACAGAAAAAGGACATTAGGTAAAGAGTAGGTGAAATACATTTTAGTTAATAATATATGAATATTATTTTAATTGTAAGAAATATTACAATGAATACATATTGATTATTATGTTAATAATAGGGAAAACTGGGTGTGGCGTATTTGGAAACTCTTCTATCTTTAAAATTTTTCTATAAATCTAAAAGTATTCTAAAAATAATAGTTGTTTTAAAAAAGAAGCTCTGTCTTTGTAAAGACTATCTGTGGGAAGATAAGCATTGATAAAAATAAAATATATGGTATAAGAGATGGTGATAAATACTATAAGGAAAAATAAAAGAGTCAAAAGGAACAGAAAATGTTGGCCAGAGTAGAGGTAAAGGGTTTGCCTCATAACTTACTCAATACATGGATAGAACCAAGGTTTAAAGGATGATCTTAATATGCCAGGCTTCTAGTGATTATTGACATATACAATAAAAGAAAAAGAATAAGATTAGTCTTTGGAGATTTCACGGTGTCTTAGCCCATTTTTACTGCTATAACAAAATACCCTAGACAGACTTGATGGGTTATAAACAACAGAAATCCATTATTCACAGTTCTGGAGGTGGGGAATTTCAAGATTAAGGTGCCAATAGATATGATGTCTGGTAATGACCCACTTTCTGGGTCATACATGGCTGTCTTTCACTCTGTCCTTCATGGTGGAAGGGAAAAAGGATTCCTCTAGCCTCTTTTATAAGGTTATTATTCCCTTTGATAAAGACATCACTCTCATGAACTAATCACTTCCCAAAGATTCCACCTCCTAATACCATCACCTTGGTAGGACTTCAACATATGAATTTTGAGGGAACACAAGCATTCAGACCGTAATACAGATAACATTAGTTATACCCTAGAAGGAGAAGTGGAAGCCTTTCCAAGGACATGCAGAACCATCTGGGATCTCCTTCATTCCTGAGGATGCTATGTGGAGCTTTGGGACTTGCTCTTGGTATGTGGAGAAGACGGAGAAGATCAGTGCAACTTCTTCCTTTTATAAATAAGAAATCTGAGAGCCAGAAACTCAAAATAATTGTCTCATGTTCCCATACCAAGCTATTTACAAATTTTGGATCAGCACCAAGTTTCTAGATCCCTAAACTGAAACAGTTTCTTCTAGACCAAATTGCTTCCTTTTATTGATGATGTTGAAATGCACCAGAGGTAACTCTCAGTTGAGAATAGACAGATAAATACAATTTCTAAAATAAATATGTTTGCTTTCTACATAGATGGCTAATAAAATCATACTGTGATTTTTCTTTTGTTTCTGCTTTGATTATTTATTACTGAGAACATTTTTTTGCAAGGTGGTATATACACATGTAGCCTCAAATTTGTGGGTTTCAACTGTAGACTAACAGAGTTTAGTTTTTACTTTTTAGATGGCTCAGATTACATTTAGATTGGTTCATTGGGACTTAAGACAAACTTCTCTGTGTACATTAGATTCTGCCATTCTCCTATAATTGTCATTTAAATATGAATAAACTAAAAAGTGAATAAAAGTTGGTTGATTAAAATGTCAAATGAGAATTTGTAACACAGTTGAGACTTTTAAAAAATATTAAGAATCTAGTCTGTAGTTGAAATTGGGTTGCATTTACACCTGGCACTTCTTTGATCTCCAACACAATAATAAAATCCATGGTAAGCATTGAATTCATGTCTATTGTATGAATAAATTGATTTTATACATGTCCTTATTCTGAAGATTATTATGTTCAAAATGAACCAATACATTTTGTAAGTTCCAGAATCTTTAGCAAGATTAGTTCCCAAGTGAAAAGAAGAGACAAATATGTATATATACCATGTCTATAAGTATTGAGTTTGAAATTAGTAAAAGAGAATAAAATAAAAAAAGAAAAACTTCAATGTGTAAGAAGTCAAAATGAATAGAGGAAAATGAAATGGGGACACTTGAAATATGAAATGTTTTGTTTAGATAAGGATAAAACGTAATAAACATTTACACCTGCTTTTCTGGTTTTGAAAGTGCTGCACAGTGAAATTCTCTTAATACTTCATTGTGAACAATTCTGTAGTCTTATGCTTATGATATTCTGAACATCATTTTCCATTGAATATAATACTAGGTATAATAGGTAGAAAGATTCATAGAGTAGTTTAGAACACAGAAAAGGATGTTAGGAAAGTTGCACTGTGTTAGTTATGCATATATAGTTTTCTCAGCCATACTATATTGACTTTTAATCTTGTGTTTGACTTTTCTCTAAAAGTAGACTTCCAAAAGATCAATTTTTCTTGTCAAATTTGCAATCTCTTTCGTTTTCTGTGACTCAGGTTTTACTGAATATTAATAGCAAATAAGATATTTTTAGAAATCTATTTTTCACTTTATTCAAGTGTACCTCATACATTTATTCTTATAATTCAGGAAGGAGAAAAATAAATCTTTTATTCATTATGCAAAGTCACAAGGCATAATTAATACCATAGTTGGCAATATCAGCATTCAAAAGATTTCAAATATCACGAAGAAAAATACTGAACATCTTTCTCTACCACGCCCCCCGCACCCGACCACATGCACACAAATGAATGTTAAACCTACAAACATATATAATATTAGATAGAAGAAATTTGGCTTGACAGAAATCCACAGCAACAAAGGACAAGCTTTCAGATGATGACAAGCTCAGTAAATATCAACAGTGTGAAATGACTCCAAAGACTCCTAATAAAAGATTAGGAAGAATAAACAGAGCAAGGGAGAGGATTATCCCACTGTGCTTTCTACTGAGAAATCTGCCTCTGGGACACAGTACCTAATTCTCTTAATGGCTCTTTGAAAAGCACAGTGTTCAACCAAATTTCTGAGAAAACTGGAGATATCCTAATGAAGAATAAAATCTTTTTGAGAAAGGGGATATTTAATGGCTGAACACTCTCCTCAAATCAATGATGTGTGTATGAGAAATACAATTATGTATTATAAAACAAAATGATGGGAGATAATAAATTTGGAAAAACTAAGAACTTTATCTTATTTTGTTAGTCTTAGGATGGTATAGTGCACCATACAAATTAAGGAGATCCTTCACTTAAAGCAGACTCACTGTTACAAATGTTTCAGAGGTTATTTTTACACCAAACAACCCCATATCAACCAGAGACCTCAAGGCCCATTCTTGGCCTCCTCCTAAGATTGCTTCTATTATCCATGCTCTGATGAATGTATTCCTGAATGACCTAATTCCTTTGCAATAGTAAACCATTCAATTTATGAGCTCCTGATGTTTTATCTTGTTTTGGTAGATCAATTGGCTGGCTAAAACTGGCACCTAATTAATTGAAAAGACAATATATGGATGCCAGGACTAGATTCTAAAACCAATGGTAGTGCTAATATACTCAACAAAGCAAGTAGATTTTAGATACTAATTACAAGCAGAAGTCATGATATATCCATTCACTTCCTGCCAATTGTCTAAGCCAGCAATTGAAAGAAAAAATTATTTTGCCCAGTCTTCTTAATAAAAGTATGCTGGTGGTCAAATGATCTTTTATTTCATTTAAAACACTACCTCCAATTGCTGTATCCAGCCATTATGAATATTAAATGTTGCTCTACATGTAATTTTTCCCAAAGCTTCTAATTTTCACCATTTCATTATTGTCCATATTAAGTGGCTTATTGTACCTAACAGCAAAGTACAAGGATGGCACTAATCAGAGCATTACTTTACAGGTAGAAACAAGGAAGGAAATGACTATAATATTAGACACAGAATACATTTGAGAACAGAAGGTCATTTCATATTTCTAAGAAATGCTCTTACTTCTGAATTTCTTAATGCAAGTGAACATTCTTTTGAAAGTTGTTGTTACACTGGAAAAAAAAAAGGTACTAAAATCAACCTGAATGTTACTCTGGAAATTTATACTTGCCTATGGAAACAGATGGCTCTTCATCTGCACTGTTTTACACATCAATACAACCACAGCATCCCTGTATATATATTTATAAGCCATCTATATGTCAAAAAAGTATCCCACAAAAATAATACTAAAATAAGTAATTAATTATATTAAAACCAAGACAATAGAGATGTGAAAGTGAGGACTGAAAAGAAAAATATGTTCAGGGAAAATGTGGGGACAAGCAGTTCTAAAAATGGAAATCTGGAAATTACTTCCTTTGGGAAAACGACTTAGCACCTTTTGCAAAGTACAAATAATTCTCCAACTTTTTAATCATAAGAATTCTCTCTTTTAGCTGACAAACAAGTGAGGAACACTATTTCCAGTTTCTAACCAAGACAGGGTGAATTTAATGAGTCTCATTCCTATGTTAGTGTGATTCTTTTTTCCTCTGAGATATATTGAAACTCTAGGTGTTAACAGATTATCAGATCTGCCTAGTAGGGAAGTAGGTACAAGCTTGAGCTATGCAATAAACGGTTACCATATTCAATTAATTCTTAGGAAATAAAAAAGACCCTTCAGATAGAGATGGCCACCACACATGATGGCAATATCATGCGTATAGGACTATTCGCATGAAAAATGGTATTCACAACGTAAGGGAAAGGAAAGTCTTTCTTCTTACTGCATTGGAGAAAAGTCTGAAATTTCTATCTTTTGCCTGTTATCGGGAAATAAACACTCAGCAGTTTGCTCTTTAACTCCTGTTAACATAAGAATTAAATGGTATGGTAGAAAAAATACAGCCCAGATAGTTTGTGGCTTCTGCAATGAAGAGGTGGAGTCTATTTCCCCACCACTTCAATCCAGGCTGGCCTTGTTATTTGCTTTGACCATTAGTAGGCGGAAAAAATGGCATTGTGTAAGTTCTAGAGCCTCGGCCTGAAGATGCCTTGCGGCTTTCACTCTCACCCTCATGAATTATTGCTCTGAGGCTACCACAGAAAGTTGGTCTAGAATATTGGAGGTTGAGAATCACGTAGAGGAGAAAAGTTGCCCTTATTGTCAGCTAGCATTAATGCCAGACAAGTCATCAATACCATCTTGGGTTTTCCAGCCCAGCCAATGCTCCAGTTTATGTAGACTCATGTATGAGCTCAGGCAAAATCAGCAGAGAGGTCGCTAAGATAACAACTATAAAATAATGTAAAGTAATACAGTGTTGTTTTAAGCAACAACGTTGTTATGTAGCAATAGGTAACTGAAACACAAAATTTATTGGATTACATTAGAAGTCATCTATCAGTATTCTTAGAAATGGTATATTAGACAATTTTCACAATATCAATAATAATTTCTTCTTTTTTAGTAAATGTGTATTACATTACAAGCACAAGGCTAGATAGTGTGTTGTTTCCTGAACACACTCAGAATGTACGGGCTTGGTGATGCTAAGAGACTAATGACAATAAGAACCACTCTTTTTCATTTATTTGCTTTTATTTTATAAATTATCAATAATTTTATAAGTAAAATTATTTATTATATAAATTATTACAGCAGAGCTGAGTATTTTTTGTTGTGCAATTCCACTCATTTTAATACACTGACAGAGTAATGCAACAACCACCACAATCAGGATACAGCTTCATTACCCCCAAAATGTTCTTTATGCTATCCATTTATACTAACAACCCCATTCCTATTTCCTGGAAATTACTGATCTGTTTTCAATCACTGTAAATTTGGGTTTTCAAGAATATCATATAAATGTAACTATGCAGTAAGCAATCTTGAAACTGATTTCTTTTACATTCTGCATACTGCCTTTAAATGGCTCTGAGTTTCTATGTGTATCAATAGTCTGTTAGTTGTTGAGGAACATTACATTGTACGTATGGACCACAATTTCTTTATCCCTTCACTTGTTCATGACATTAGGGTTATTCCAATTTTTGATGAGTATGAAACAACAGCTATAAACATTTGTGCATAAGATGTTAAGTGACCATGAGTTTTTATTTCTCTATGATAAATACTCCAAGAGTGAGATCGCTAAGTCACATGGTGTTTACTTAACTTTATAAGCAACTTTCGAATTATTTTCCAAATTAACTGTGCCATTTCACATTCATACCAGCAATGTATGAGAATTCGCATTGCTCCGCATCCTTGCCAGGATATGGTACAGTCAATATTATTTTTATATAATGTCCCTCCTTTTAAATGATTTTCAATATTTTCAGAGCAGTTTTAGGTTCACAGAAATATTGACAGAAAGTAAAAAGGATTCCCAAATACTCCCCACCCCATGCATGCATAGCTTTTCCCCTTATCAACATTCCTCACCAGAATGGTGCATTTGCTACAATTAATAAACCTACATTGACAGGTCATTATCACCCAAAGCCCACAGTTTACATTAGTGTTCAATCTAGGTGCTGTACATTCTATGGGTTTGAGCAAATGTATAATAATATGTATCTACCATATTAGCATCATATACAGTCATCCCTCGGTATCCATGGAGGATTGGTTCCAGCACTCTGGCATATACCAAAATCTGCACACACTTAAGTCCCATAGCCAACAATGTGGAATCCACATATCTGAAAAATCAGCCCTCTGTATAAGCAGGTTGCCCATCCTATGAATATCATACTTTTTATTCACCTTTGGTCTCTGAAATTTATGTGTACATGTGGACCTGAACAGTTCAAGTGTCAACTGTAGTTTCACTACTCTAAAAATCCTCTGTACTGTGCCTATTCTCTTTTCCCTCCCCCTAAACCCCTGGCTACTCCTAATCTATTTACTGTCTCCACAGAATTATCTTTTCCAGAATATCATACAGTCAGAATAATACAGTATGTTTCTTTTTCATATTAGCTTTTTTTCACTTAGTAATATGGATTTACATTTTCTCCATGTCACTCTATGTCTCTTCATGTCTTAACAGCTTATTTATTTTTACCACTGAATAATATTTCATTGTCTGGATGTGCCACACTTTATCCACACACATAATGATATCATGGTTGATTCTAAGTTTTGGCAATTAGGAGTAAAGCTAACATAACCATCTGAGTGCAGGTTTTCATGTAAACATAAAATTTCAACTCATCTTTGGTTTTGTAAGAAACTGTCAAACTGTCTTCCAAAGTGTCTGTACCATTTTACGTTCTCACCGGCAATGAATGAGAATTCTTCTTGATCCACATCCTCACCAGCATTTGGTGTTGTCAGTTTTCTGCATTTTGGTCCTTTTAATAGCTGTATAGTGGTAACTCATCACTTTAATTTACATTTCCCTGATAACTTATAATATAGGGCAACTTTTCCTTTTTTTTTTTTTTTTTTTACTTTAAGCTCAGAGATACATGTATACATGTGCAGAATGTGCAGGTTTGTTACATAGGTATATGTGTGACATGGTGGCTTGCTGCACCTAACAATCCATCACCTAGGTTTTTTTTGAGACAGAGTCTCGCTCTGTCACCTAGGCTGGAGTGCAGTGGTGCGATCTCTACTCACTGCAACCTCCACCTCCCAGGTTCAAGCAATTCTCCTGCCTCAGCCTACTGGGTAGCTGGGATTACAGGCTAAGTTTTGTATTTTTAGTAGAGATGGGGTTTTGCTATGTTGGCCAGGCTGGTCTCGAACTCCTGACCTGCCTCGGCCTCCCAAAGTGCTGGGATTACAGGTGTGAGCCACTGTGCCTGGTCTTTCACTGAGGTTTTAAGCCCTGCATGCGTTAGCTATTTTTTCTGATGCTCTACCTCCCCTCGTACCGCCCTCAACAGGCCCCAGTGTGTGCCCTCCTTGATCAAGTCCATGTGTTCTCATTGTTCAACTCCCACTTGTAAGTGAGAACATGTGGGGTCTGGTTTTCTGTTCCTGTGTTATTTTGCTGAAGATGATGGCTTCCAGCTTCATCCATGTCCCTGCAAAGGACATGATCTCATTCCTTTTTGTTGCTGCATAGTATTCCATGATGTATATGTACCACATTTTCTTTATACAGTCTATCTTTGATGGCATTTGGGTTGGTTCCATGTCTTTGGTATTGTGAATAGGGCTGCAATAAACCTATGCGTGCAGGTATCATTATAAAAGAATGATCTATATACCTTTGGGTGTATACCCAGTAATGGGATTGCTGGGTCAAATGATATTTCTGGTTCAAGATCCTTGAGGAATCTCCACACTGTCTTCCACAATGGTTGAACTAATTTACATTCCCACCAACAATATAAAAGTGTCCCTATTTCTCCACAGCCTTTCCAGCATCTGTTGTTTCTTGACATTTTAATAATTGCCATTCTGACTGGCATGAGAAGGTATCTCAAGGTGGTTTGGATTTGCATTTCTCTAATAATCAGTGATGTTGAGCTTTTCTTCATGTTTGTTGGCCAAATAAATGTCTTCTTTGGAGAAGTGTCTGTAAATACCCTTTGTCCACTTTTTGAGGGGGTTGTTTGTTGTTTATTGTAAATTTGTTTAAGTTCCTTACAAATACTGGATATTAGACCTTTGTCAGATGGGTAGATTTCAATCTCCCATTCTGTAGGTTGCCTGTTTGCTCTGATGATAGTTTATTTTGCTGTGCAAAAGCTCTTTAATTTAATTAAATCCCACTTTTCATTTTAACTTTTGTTACAATTGCTTTTGGCGATTTCATCAGAAAATCTTTGCCAGTGCTTATGTCTTGAATGGTATTGCCTAGGTTTTCTTCTAGGGTTTTTGTGGTTTTGGGTTTTACATTTAAGTATTTAATCCATCTTGAGTTAATTTTGTATAAGGTGTAAAGGAGGAGTCCAGTTTAAGTTTTCTGCATATGGCTAGCCAGTTAAATCCTTTCCCCATTTCTTGCTTTTGTCAGGTTTGTCAAAGATCAGATGGCTGTATATGTGTGATGTTATTTCTGAGGCCTTCATTCTGTTCCATTGGTCTATGTGTCTGTTTTTGTACCAATACCATGCTGTTCTGGTTACTGTTCCCTTGTAGCATAGTTTGAAGTCAGGTAGCGTGATGCCTCCAGCTTTGTTCTTTATGTTTAGGATTGTCTTGCCTATGTGGGCCCTTTTTTAGTTCCATATGAATTTTAAAGTAGATTTTTCTAATTCTGTGAAGAATGTCAATGGTAATTTGATGGGAATAGCATTGAATCTACAAATTACTTTGGGCAGTATAGCCATTTTCACAATATAGATTCTTTCTATTCAAGAGGATGGAATGTTTTTCCATTTTTGTGTGTGTCCTCTCTTATTTCTGAAGGAATGGTGCCAGCTCCTCTTTTACCTCTGTTAGAATTCAGCTGTGAATCCATCTGGTCCTGGGCTTTTATTGGTTGGTAGGCTATTTATTACTGCCTCAATTTCAGAACTAGTTATTGGTCTATTCAGGGATTTGACTTCTTCCTGGTTTAGTCTTGGGAGAGAGTATGTGTCCAGGAATTTTTCCATTTCTTCTAGATTTTCTAGTTTATTTGCATAGAGGTGTTCATAGTATTCTCTGATGGTAGTTTGTATTTCTGCAGGGTCAGTGGTGATATCCTCTCATCATTTTTTATTGTGTCTATTTGATTCTTCTCTCTTTTCTTCTTCATTATTCTAGCTAGCAGTCTATCTATTTTATTAATTTTTCCAGTAAACCAGCTCCTGGATTTTGATTTTTTGAAGGGTTTATTGTGTATGTATCTCCAGTTTTGCTCTGATCTTACTTATTTCTTGTCTTCTGCTAGCTTTTGGATTTGTTTGCTCTCGTTTCTCTAGTTCTTTTAATTGTGATGTTAGGGAGTCAAACTGAGATCTTTCTAGCTGTTTGATGTGGGCATTCAGTGCTATAAATTTCCCTCTTATCATTGCTTTAGCTGCGTCCCAGAGATTCAGGTACATTGTGTCTTTTTTCTCATTGGTTTCAAAGAAGTTCTTGATTTCTGCCTTAATTTCATTATTTACCCAGGAGTCATTCAGGAGCAGGTTGTCCAATTTCCATGTAGTCGTGTGGTTTTGAGTGAGTTTCTTAATCTTCAGTTCTAGTTTGATTGCACTATGTTCTAAGAAAGTCTTTATGATTTCAGTTCTTCTGCATTTGCTAAGGAGTATTTTACTTCCAATTATGTGGTCAGTTTTAGAGTGAGTGCCATGTGGCACCAAGAAGAATGTATATTCTGTTGTTTTGAGGTGCAGAGTTCTGTAAATATATATTAGGTTCACTTGATCTGAGAGTTGAGTTCAAGTCCTGAATATCCTTGTTAATTTTCTGTCTCAGTGATCTGTCTAATATTGACAGTGGGGTGTTAAAATCCCCTACTATTGTTGTGTGGGATTCTAAGTCTCTTTATAGGTCTCCAAAGATTTGTTTTATAAATCTCAGTGCTCCTGCATTGAGTGCATATATATTTAGGATAGTTAGCTCTTCTTGTTAAATTGATTCCTTTATCCTTATGTAATGCCCTTCTTTGTCTTTTTTGACCTTTGTTGGCTTAAAGTCTGTTTTGTCAGAGTCTAGGCAACTTTTTTTTCTTTCCATTTGCTTGGTAAATTTTTCTCCATCCCTTTATTTTGAGCCTAGTTGTGTCTTTGCACATGAAATGGGTCTCTTGAATAGAGCACACAGATGGTTCTTGACTCTTTATCCAATTTGCCAGTCTGTGTCTTTTAATTTGGGCACTTAGTCCATTTAAATTTAAGGTTAATATTGTTATGTGTGAATTTGATCCTGTTATCATGGTGCTAGCTGGCTATTTTGCACACTAGTTGATGCCGTTTTGTCATAGTTTCATTGGTCTTTATATTTTGCAGTGGCTGGTACCAGTTTTTCCTTTCCATATTTAGTGCTTCCTTGAGGAGCTTTTGCAAGGCAGGCCTGGTGGTGACAAATTCCCTCAGCATCTGCTTGTCTGAAAAGAATTTAATTTCTCCTTCACTTATGAAGCTTATTTTGGCTAGATATGAAACTCTAGGTTGAAAATTCTTTTTTTAAAGAATGTTGAATATTGGTCCACATTCTCTTCTGGCTTGCAGGGTTTCTGCTGAGAGATCCACTGTTAGTCTGTTGGACTTCCCTTTATAGGTGACCTGCCCCTCTCTCTGGCTTCCCTTAACATTGTTTTCCTTCATTTCAACCTTGGAGAATCTAATGATTATGTGTCTTGGAGTTGATCTTCTCTTGGAGTATCTTAACGGTGTTTTATATTTCCTGAATTTGAATGTTGGCTTATCTTGCTAGGTTGGGGAAATTTTCTGGATAATATCCTGGAGTGTGTTTTCCAACTTGATTCCATTCTTCCCGTCTTTCTCAGTTACTCCTATCCATCATAGGTTCAGTCTTTTTACATAGTCCCGTATTTCTAGGAGGTTTTGTTCATTCCTTTTCATTCTTTTTTCTCTAATCTTGTCTGCCTGCCTTATTTCAGTAAGATAGACTTCCATCTCTGATATTCTTTCTTTTGCTTGATCAATTTGGCTACTCATACTTGTATATGCTTCACAAAGTTCTTGCACTGTGCTTTTCAGCTCCATCAGGTAATTTATGTTCTGCTCTAAACTGGTTATTCTAATTAGAAGCTCCTCTAACCTTTTAAGGTTCTTAGCTTCTTCGTATTGGGTTAGAACATGCTCCTTTACCTCAGTGAAGTTTGTTATTACCCACCTTCTGAAGCCTACGTCTGTCAATTTGTTCATCTCATCCTCCGTCCAGTTCTGCGCCCTTGCTGGAGAGGTGCTGCAATCATTTGGAGGAGAAGAGGCACTCTGGCCTTTTGGGTTTTCAGTGTTTTTCCATTGATTCTTTCTCATCTTCATAAGTTTGTCTAGTTTTGATCTTTGAGGTTGCTGACCCTTGGATGAGATTTTTGTGGGAACTTTTTTGTTGATACTGTTTTTGTTGCTTTCCATTTGTTTGTTTTTCTTTAAATAGTCAGGTCCCTCTTCTGTAGGGCTGCTACAGTTTGCTTGGGGTTCACTTCATCCCTATTCATCTGGTTTGCTCCTGCACCTGGAGATGTCACTTGAGGAGCCTCAAGAACAGCAAAGATGGGTGCCTGCTCCTTCCTCTAGGATCTCTGACCTTGAGGGACACCAATCTGATGCCAGTAGGAATGCTCCTGTATAGGATGTCTGACAATCCCTGTTGGGGGTGTCTCATCCAGTTGTGTGGCATGGGAAGCAGGAACCATTTAGTGAGGCACTTTGGCTGTCCCTTGGTGGAGGGGCTGTGCCCCTCTGGGGGGGAAACCCACTTGTCTGGGCTATTCGGGTTCCTTGGCTGGGGGTGGGGGCTCCCCTGTCCCGTGTGGTTCTCAGGTGGGCCACCACACTACACTGCTCTTCCTTCCTCTCTGTGATCACACCAGCTGTCTAGTCAGTCCTAATGACAGAACCTGAATACCTCAGTTGCTGGTGCAGGATTCGCACACTGTTTTGGATCTTTTCCATGGGAGCCTCCTCCACTCGCTACTGCTTCTAGTCAGCCTTCTTGGCCCCCCAAGGCAACTTTTCATAAGCTTATTTGCCATCTATACATTTTATTTGGTTAGTTGTCTGTTAATGTCTTTGGTCCGTTGATAAATTTGCTTGTTTTCTTATTGTTGAGTTTTAAGAATATTACATATATTTTGGAAAACAGTCCTTTTTCAGATATGTCTTCTGCAAATATTTCTTCTTAGTCTGTGGCTTGTCTTTTCATTCTCTTGACAGTGTCTTTTGCAAAGGAGAAACTTTTAGTCTTAATGAAGTTGTGCCTATCAATTCTTTCTTTCATGGAGTGTGCTTTTGGTGTCATACCAAAAAAATCATTGCTGTGTCCAAGGTCATCTAGATTTTCACCTATGTTTTCTTCTATGAGTCTTATCATTTTGCATTTTACATTTAGGGCTGTTATCCATTTTGAATTAATTTCTGTAAAGGATGTAAGGTTGTGTTTAGATTTATTTATTTATTGCAAGTGGATGTCCAGTTATTGCACCATCATTTGCTAAAAAGCTTATCAGGAAAGATCTATACCAGCAATTTTATTATTAAGGATACAAATCAGGATCAGCCAAATAAAGAGAAACATAGGGTGACATCTGGAAGACTCACCAGCATATAGCTTCTGCATTCTAGTCCCATGGAATCAAAGGCACATCAATGTGTTTCCCCACCAGGAATCTCCACTGAACTTCAATGTCTGGAGTTTTTACTGAGGTTTTGTTACAGAGGCTTGATTAAATCATCGGCAATGTGGTTGAACTCAATATTTAAACCTTTCCCCTCCCAGAGTTCAGATTGGCTCATGGACTCAACCCTTTAACCACATGGTTGTCTTTGTGGCATTACGGATCCAATCTTAGAACTATCCAGGAACCTACCATGATTCTCCTCATTAGTCTAAACTGTCAGGTATTATCCAAAGGAGCTCATGAATGACACAGACACTCCTGCTACTCAGAAAATTATAATGCCAGGAACTCAGCCAAAAAAAAAAAAAAGCAGATAAATACAACAACAATCTTAAATTTTGTTAGTTGATATAACCACCAAATATATTGTACAAATCACAAGAGAAGAAAAATAAGGTAATACAGTTACCCAAATATTTACCGTTTTTGTTTCTTTTTCTTTATGTCTGATTTTCCTGGTCCCATTTCACTTGTGTTTAAGACTGTCCTTTAATGATGTTTTATAGCAGTTTCATTGGAAACAAATTATATTGGATTTTATTCTCCTGTGGTATATTTATTTTTACTTTTAATTGTAGAAGATTCTTTTTCTAGATGTAGAATTCTGTATTTATACTTTCTGTCAGCACTTTAAAAAGGCTGTGCCACTTCCTTCTGAACTCTGGTTGCTGAAGAGAAATCAGTCCTTCAAATTACTGTTCTCCTATATATAATATGTCTGTTCTCTCTGTCTCTCCTCAAGTATTGCTTTTCATCTTTAGTTATATGTTAACCTGTTTTGAATTCTCTGTGCTTCTTTGAATCTGTAGGCTTATGTCTCTCACTGCTGGAAGGAAGGCTAATGTTATTTTCAGTACCACACATTTTTCTCTGTTTATCTGGAACTTTGATAACACACATTTTAGATTTCTTTATTGTCCAGTCAGTCCTCCTTAATTTTTGTTTTTAATTTTAGTTTTTTGTCTATTGCCCAGAAAATAATTTAATAACATTGAATAATTGCTATTGCTCTAGCTTCAAGTCCAGTGAATCTTTCCACTGTGGTCTTTGTCTTACTCAGAGCTGGGGTCTGACTCACTGGCAACAAATATTTATAGAATAGAGTTCATGTGATAGACTCTATGCTAAGTAATTTATATAGATTATCTCTTTTTCTCTGATTATAGGCTACTGAGCTTAGTTCAGTTGTACAGATGAAGAAATTGATTATTTGAAAGGCTAAGTAACTTGCTTATGGTCACACTGCTACCAAGAGGTCTCTGTGCTCAAAGACTTCAGGCCTATTGAGTTGTAGAGCATGAAGCAGTTTCCTGGAATAGCTTGAGCTAGGGGCAATCACCCAAACTGAGAATGAGATTGTGGATATAGAGAAATTTCTGTGAAAGCTCTGAGTAGCAAAACCTGAAGCAAATTACGTAAGTAATGCTGAAGACCAATTTGCGTCTTTCATTATTTTATTTGGCTCTGGTCCTGCTGCCAAAGTCTTTCCAAGGTCAGAACTAAGTTTTCCTTGCTGTGAGAAAATGTGATTGAAAGCTTCTTAAAGCTCTAGGAGTCTAAGAGCAAAAAAACCTTCAAGAGATTTTGAAAATAGAGAAAACAATGTGACGAAAGACAGTAAACAGACTTCCCTGATAACCCTCTGGCTTTGTCCAGTGGCAACTTAGCCTTTTGGAGTAGCTACAAATTTGAGCTTGAAGAACTGCTATTGGCATTTTAGTAGCCAAGAATTTTATTTTAGCACACATACAATGTTTAAAAGTTGATAAAAGTTTCTTATTGAATTAATAAAAGCTTATCGTCTGAAATTATATTAAATTATCTAAGATTCCCCCGAACTTTTATTATGTGAGTGCCTAAGGGAGACCCCTAAAATTAATGGTTAGCATAAATTAAAAGATAGTTACAAAGTGAATAAACTTTAAGATAATCTGATCTTGATTCAGAACCTGAAACCTGTCATTATTTGACCTCATGAAATAATAAAACTTTGTATAGAATTCTGTGATGTTATTTATTCAGTGCAGTGGTTTTTTTTTCTTTTTAAGGAAAAACTGAAAGTTTTGCCTGCAAAAATATATAAAACAACATAAAAAGTAAAGCAAAGGGAAGAAATGCCCCAGATTCAGTGACTGTGTGGTAGGAATTTGTTAAAAAGAAACAAGTTTACAGCCTAATTCTAACCCATTCTACTAGACTGTACAATTATATATAGTATTTTTGGAGTCCACTTGTTTGCTCTGTTTAATTGGCTGGCTAAACTATGTTGCTGGAAGTAAGATGTAGTCTGTGATAGAGACCATGGGCACACATCAAAAATGAATTATCTCAGGCTGTTTGGAAATAGCTAGTCTCCTAAATTAAAGCTTCCCAAAGCAAGCTCTTTTGGCATGGGGGCTGGTGAGGGAGTGGTGTAATGGAAAGATCATCGTAACTCATAAATCATAAATCAACATCCATGCTTTCTACGTCAGGGATGACTGAATCACTTAATTGCACTCAGCTTTTTTATAACTATTGATACATATTTATAAAAAACTGTGATCGTATTAGTTTGCTAGGACTATCATAACAAAGTTCTATAGACTAAGTAGCTCAAAAAACAGAGATTTATTTTCTCAAAAATCTGAAAGCTAGAAGTCCAAGATCAAAGTATAGACAAGGTTTTCAATTTAACCTTGGCTTGTAGATGGACATCTTCTCGCTCTGTCCTCAGATGGTTTTCCCTCTGTGTCTGTGCCCTAATCTTTTCTTTAAAACACTGGTCATACTGGATTAAGATTCACTCCAGTGACCTCATTTTAACTGAATTACCTCTGTAAAGACCCTATCTCCAAATTCAGTCATATTCTGAAATACCAGGGTTAGGAGTTCAACCTATGAATTTTCGGGGGACACAATTCAGCCCATAACCATGAAATTTAGATTTTATAATCTATGATGTATACATAGGATAAGCATATGTATGTGTTTATATATTTATGTTTTTAACTAGGAAGAAAAACCATCATACACAATTGTTTCCTTTTAAAATCAGATCTAATTACACTTGACCTGCATTTACAAAAGGGAAAAATTGGTTAGGCATTTTTACTTAGTCGTTAAACTTCTACCCCTAGCTCTAACAAGTTGGTCTCAACCAGCAATGGCATTTAGAAAAGCAGTCAGAGAAGCCTGTGGCTCTGTCGTGCCTAAGGCCATGTGCTTTTGTGTCAGCACAATCCTCACCCAAATCACTTTAGTTATTTATGTTTCCTGCCTGGCCTAAGGCATTTAAGTTTATAACAAATGTTCCCACCACATACAGACCACGGGAATCATGCCAACTGGCCTGGTTTCAGATATTCTCTTCCTGGAGGGAATGGATGGTGGTTTTGATTTATTATCTAACAGAAGTTTCTGAGAGGCATGGCTTAGTTAAGATTTAAAGCTCAACATCAAGAAAAAGCAATTTAATATTTTTTATGTTTGTTTGTTTTTGCTGTAAGTATACATTGAAATGAGACTGGAGCTGTACGTTTGATGAGCTGTATCAATTACATTGTCAGTTAAATCTGTGTCTGTAAAGAAATTGGAAAAATTAAGTTTTCAGTCAAACTCTTACAGTTTTGTAATGTATATTATGCTGTAAAATTAGTTATTTCATCTTTTAATATATTGACTAAGATTGTGTGTATAAGCTATCTTTTTACAAACAAATGAAAAATAGTAAAAGCAGTTTGTGCGTGTGTATGTGCTGTATAAATTTGAAACAGCCATTTAGATGGTTGATTATTTTTTCACTCCTCACTGGCTTCATATCCTGGGATAAACATGACCACAAATACTAATGCAGTGTATGTTCTACACTATATACACAAATACTAATGCAGTGACAACTAGAAATTCGAGAGTTCTATGACCAATTATGAACAGAAACAGATTATCATAAAAAGAAGATGCTTTCCAAATCTAACTCATATCCACTGTCAAGAAAATGACATTAAATAAACCTCATATTATAATCTCACCAAGTATTTATGGTGTGTCTAATTTCATGGAATTCTAGATTTGATCTGCCTTGAATAAGTTTATGAAGAGATTTTATTCTTCAAGTGATTCACATAACAGATACATTATTCTCAGGTTCTTCATGTAGCAAACTACTTATGCCTTTAAACAGTCAAATTGCACATTGTCAAGATGCCCTCAAAGTTGGTGAAAAGTAAATATGCTAATCCAGATGTTTTTCCTTATCTGCCATATTTCCTTTTCCATTTAAAGCTATTATTATTACTTTATGATCATCTATTTTTGGCAATACTAGATGATGAATCACATGCCTGTTTTCCCTTTCACTTATCAGCTATACACCTGCAAAGGTGCTAATTGAACAAGAGCTGCATTCTGACAGAAAAACCTAGGAGAAAATCAAGTAGGGAGTCTATTTATCCTAAGCTATGACCTGCATTTTACCAGCATCCACCACTACATTTGTTTTAAATTTTTTTCACTCTAGTCTTGCAGATTTGCCTTAGCAAATTATGAGGTATAGCCAAGCCAGGCAGCAAAGCAAAGCCTTTGATCAAGGCTTCCTGCTCACATTGTACCTTGGTCCAGCAGCATCTAAAGGAGATGCTCTAACGATGCTAGCTGAATTCTGCAATGACCCACGCATTTGTCTTATCTGAGGATTCACATGATTTAAAACTTCATATGATGTTGGGATAACAGGAATGATTACCAGGCCTAGTATACACCCATCTTATGCCTGCACATCATGGGAACAGTAAAGAGTCAACGCAGTGTTTTCTGTATTGTGTCACTGAGCAGGAAGCTGCCAGCTTGATCATGCAACAGTGACTGATAGAAGCTGAGGGCAAGCCAATTTTGTGGAAGATGACAGTGGGAGACGGAGCAAAGAGTAAGAAACAGCTCTTGGATGAAAGAGAGATCTTCTTCTTGTTCCTGACATGGGCTCAGAGGCTCTGGTAGAAAACACATGTGTGACCTTCAGGATTTGCTAGGCAGGCTGGCACCTGTATTGACCTACTCTGGAGAAATGCCCTGGAGAGGTGCGAACTCTGAACTCCTTTCACAGGACTAGCTGGAAATGGAAGCCTTTGTAAATGACTTTCTGCTAGGTGGTCACCCCATTTTATTTTTGCTGATTAATTAACATTCAACTTAATTGCCAACTCGCTGAACCTAAATGTGCTTACTGCCTAATATTGTTTGATTTCTCTTCCAATCTTCCAGAGTTTTAACCTCCCACCAGTTTCTACTCAGCTGACAGTTGTTTTTCTCCCTAATTCTTGCATTTTTTGTGAAGCTGTTGGTTTGAAATGCAAGGTGATCTTGCAGGAAAAAAAAAAAAAGACAAACTTCTTTATAGTCTCAGCAGCACCTCCAGTCAGCTCTTCAGTTCTGATTCAAGGTGATTGCTTTTTGTGTTACATTTCTTATCTTAACATTCTGTTTCAGGAGCTGCCAGAACATTCATTTCATTTTTTTAAATGAATGCAAAAATCCACAAAGCCTCCACAGGACCATTGAGGCTTACTAATTAGATTCATTAAACAGCAATCAAAAGCAAAGAGAATTTGTCCCTTATTCTGTTTATTTCTTTTTTTCTTTAAGACTCCCTCTGCACACTGCTTTATTAAATAATATTCTGTGTGCCATAATAATGGTCACTCTTGCTAAAACATTGGGTCACAAAGTGTTAGTTCATTAGACTTTTTGTCAGTGCAACATAGTGTCAGTTTTCCCCCCCTGTGACTGACTGTATATAAATATGCTAGAGAAAATGCATAGAAAACCTTCTGAGTATACATTTTTTACTTTAAATAAAAAAGGTTTTATTACAACAAACTTTAAACATTTACAGAAAGTATTTCTTTAATTGCACATTTCTGAGTTTTAAAACATCTACAGATTTATGTAACAACCAGCACAATTGGAATGCATAATATTTATAACACCCCAAAGAACTCTCTTGTGCTGCCACTTGGTGGCCAAACCCCCCTCCCACCCCATCCCTGGCAACCAATAACCTGCTCTCCATTCAAATTTTTTTGTTGTTTTCCAATATATTTATTTTTAAAGTAATTTAGAAGGTAACCTTTGAGACTGGCTATTTTCACTTGTCATACTGTCTTTAGAATTCATTCATGTTTTTGTATATACTAGTTGCTCATTTATTTTATTGTTGAGAAGTATTACATTGTACATTTGTACCAGAATTTATCCATTTCCTTACTAAAAGTAATTTGGGTTGTTTCCAGTTTTTGGTGATTGTACATTGATTGCTGTAAATCTTCATATGTAGGCTTTGTGGGATGGATGGGTCATATGGTAAGGGCAAATTTAACATTATACAAAACAACTGGACTTCCAGTTTCCAGTCCAGCATATAAGAAACTTAGAAGTAGCCACTCTGTTCTAACAACAACTAAAAAGATGAACAAACTGAAAAATCAACAACTTCTCTGATATCTATCGGAGAAATGAGGCCACAGAGAAAACCACTGCCCCCACAAATTGGAGAGACAGGTAGATAAGTGCAGAGAATCACAGTTTACCAGGGCAGAAAACCCTGAGAAGGAGCCAGTACTAGGATAAGAAAATCCTAAACTATAACTGATGAACTGCTAGAGGCTCAACGTGGACAAGTATGAGAGTTACAAACTTCAGGGGTACCCAGTCATAGGGGGACCCTCACATTTTTGTTAGTTTTACTTCTAGGAACTCTGACCAGTTCTCACAGAAAATATCACAGAGATGGCTGGGCACAGTGGCTCACGCCTATAATCCTAGCCTTTTGGAAGGCCAAGGAGGGAGAATAACTTGAACTAGGAGTTCAAGACCAGCCTGGCCAACATGGCTGCATTAATCCATTTTCATGCTGCTGATAAAGACATAACCAGGACTAGGAAATTTACAAAAGAAAGAGGTTTAATGGACTTACAGTTCCATGTGGCTGGGGAGGCCTCAGAATCATTGCAGAAGTGAAAAACATGTCTCATATGGCAGCAGATAAAAGAAGAGAGAACTTGTGGAGGGGAACTCCTCTTATAAAACCAAGAGATCTCATGAGACCTATTTACTATCAAGGGAACAGCATGGGATAGACTTGCCCCCATGATTCAATTACCTCTCACCTGGTCCCTCACACAACAGGTGGGAATTCAAGATGAGATTTGGGTGGAGACACAGCCAAACTATGTCATGCTGCCTATGGCCCCTCCCAAATCTCATGTCCTCATATTTCAAAACCAATCATGCCTTCCCAACAGTCCCCTAAAGTCTTAACTCATTTAAGCATTAACTCAGAAGTCCACAGTCAAAAGTCTCATTTGAGACAAGGCAAGTCTCTTCTGCCTATTAGCCTATAAAATCAAAAGCAAGTTAGCTACTTCTAGATACAATGGGGGTACAGGCATTGGGTAAATACAACCATTTCAAATGGCAGAAATTGGCCAAAACAAAGTGGCTATAGGCCCCATGCAATTCTGAAATCCAGCAGGGCAGTCAAATCTTAAAGCTCCAAAATGATCCTTTGACTCCATGTCTCATATCCATGTCATGCTGATGCAAAGGGTGGGTTCCCTTGGTCTTGGACAGCTCTGCCCCTGTGGCTTTGCAGGGTACAGCCTCCATCCTGGCTGCTTTTGTGGGGTGGCATTGAGTGAGTGGCTTTTCCAGGTGTATGGTGCAAACTGTCAGTGTATCTACCAGTCCAGGGTCTGGAGGATGGTGGACCTCTTCTCACAGCTCCACTAGACAGTGCCCCAGTAGAGACTCTGTGTGCGGGCTTTAACTTTGCATATCCCTTCCACACTGCCCTAGCAGAAGTTCTCCTTGAGGGCTTTGCCCTGCAGCAAACTCCTGCCTGGATATCCACACATTTTCATATAACCTCTGAAATCTAGGCAGAGATTCCCAAACCTCAATTCTTGACTTCTGTCCACCTGCAGACTCAACACCATGTGGAAGCTGCCAATGCTTGGGCTTCCATTCTCTGAAGCCACAGCCTGAGTTGTACCTTGGCCCCTTTCAGCCATGGCTGGAGTGCCTAGGATGCAGGGCACTAAGTCCCTAGGCTTCACGCAGCAAGGGAGTCCTAGACCCAGCCCAGGAAATCATCATTTCCTCCCAGGCCTCTGAGTCTGGGCCTGTGATGGGAGGGTTGCCATGAAGTCCTCTGACATGCCCTGGAGACATTGGCCCCATTGTCTTGGTGATTAACATTCAGCTCCTCGTTACTCATGCAAATTTCTGCAACCACCTTGAATTTTTCCTCAGAAGATGAAATTTTCTTTTCTATTGCATTGTCAGGCTGCAAACTTTCCAAACTTTTATGCTTATGCTCTGCTTCCCTTATAAAACTGGATGCGTTTAACAGCACCCAAGTCACCTCTTGAATGCTTTGCTGCTTAGAAATTTCTTCCACCAGATACCCTAAATCATCTCTCTCAAGTTCAAAGTTCCACAAATCTCTAGGACAGGGGCAAAATGCCACCAGTCTCGTTGCTGAAATATACCAAGAATCACCTTTACTCCAGTTCCCAACAAGCTCCTTACCTCCATCTGAGACCACTTCAGCCTAGATTTCATTGTCCATATCACTATCAGCATTTTGTTCAAAACCATTCAACAAGTCTTTGGGAACTCCAAAGTTTCCCACCTTTTCCTGTCTTCTTCTGAGCCCTCCAAACTATTTCAACCTCTGCCTGTTACCCAGTTCCAAAGTCGATTCAACATTTTTAGGTATCTTTTCAGCAGCACCCCACTCCCAATACCAATTTATTGTATTAGTCCATCTTCACACTCCTGATAAAGACATACCTGAGGCTGAGCAATTTACAAAAGAAAGAGGTTTAATGAACTTACAGTTCCATGTGGCTGGGGAGGCCTCACAATCATGGTGAAGGTGAAAGGCATGTCTTACATGGTGGCAGACAAAAGAACAGAAAACTTGTGCAGGGGAACTCCTTTTATAAAACCATCAGATCTCATGAGACTCATTCACTATCACGAGAACAGCACCATGGGAAAGATCTGCCTCCACAATTCAATTACCTTGCACCGGGTCCCTCCCACAACACATGGGAATTCAAGATGAGATTTGGGTGGGGACACAGTCAAACAATATCAGTGGCAAAACCTGTCTCTAGCAAAAATACGAAAAATTATCTGGGTGTGGTGGTGCATGCCTGTAGTCCCAGCTACTCTGGAGGCTGAGGTGGGAGGATCATTTGAGCCCAGGAGGCAGACGTTGCAGTGAGCTGAGATTGCGCCACTGCACGCCAGCCTGGGTAACCAATTGAGATTCCATCTCAAAAAAGAATATAAATATATATATATATATCTCTCACAGAGAAAATCTCTTTATCTGCCAAGCAGAGAGAGGGGAAAAGGAATCATTTTGAAACATGCTAGAGCCATCTGTTCTTGACAAGTTCTGTCCTCTGGAGAAACCAGTTAACCAGAATCTAACTTGCTGGAGTATGAGCTTAACTGACCTGTTAGAAAGGTAATGCCTAACTCCATTCTCCTCTAGCTGTCCTGTTTGATTTAAGGGAGATGGGAGACCTAGAAACAATGGTGAAGTTCACAGTCCAGGGCTACTAAAAGATTAAAACCTAATCGCAGGATGATAGAATGCTTTCCCTCCTTCCACACCTTACAACTGCATTTACTTCAGTTAACTTTTAACCTATACACCATGCCCACTTTTCAACACAACATTACAAGGCATACTAAATAAAAAAAGCCAAAAAATGCAGTTCCAAGAGACTGTGTTTTTGCTTTTTTTTTGTCTCTTAACTAGCATCAGAACTACATACAGCAGGAATGTTGGAATTATAAGAATTTTTTTCAACTATGATTAATATACTAAAAGCTTTAATGGAAAAAGCAAACAACATGCAAAAACAGATGAATAATGTAGAGAGATTAAAATTCTAAGAAATAATTTTAAAAATTGGTAGTCACCAAAAACCCTAAACAGAAATAAAGAATGAATTTGATAAACTCATTAGTAGACGGGACACAGCTGAATAAAGAATCTGCAATTGAGGATACAACAACAGAAAACATTGAAATTGAATAGCAAAGAGAGAAATGACTAAAGATAAAAAAAGAACAAAATATTCAACAATGTTAGGCAACTACAAAAGGTATAAACACACAATGGGAAAACAAGGAGAAGAGAGAGAGACAGAGAGAGAGAGAGAGAGACAGAGAGAGAGAGAGAGAGAGACAGAGAGAGAGAGAGAGAGAGAGACAGAAGTAATATTTGAAACAGTAATGACTGAGAATTGTTTGAAATTAATGTCAAACATCAAACCAGTGACCCAGAAAGCTCAAAGAACACAACGCATGATAAATACAGACACAATCACATCCAGGTATACCATTTTCAAACTTCAAAAAATCAAAGATGAAGAAAAAAATCTTGTAAGAAGACAGAAAAATCACCAGACCTATAGAGAAGCAAAGATAGCAATTAAAATTGTCCCCATATTCATTCAAAGGAGGATTGTTTACAGGAACCCTCCCAGATACTAAAATCTGAGAATGCCCAATTTCGTTCTATAAGATCGCATATCATTTACATATAAACTGCATACATCTTCTGCATACTTGAAATCAACTCGAGATTACTTTTAATAGCTAATAAAATGCAAATGTTATGTAAATAGTTGTTATGCTGTATTGCTGTTCATTTGCATTTTTATATTGTTATTTATTTTTGTTCCTAAAGAGGTTTGACCTACGGTACTTGAATCCCCATATGCAGATCCCGCAAATATGGAGAGCTGAATATATCCAAGTTCTCAGAAACCATGCAAGCAAGAAGAGAGTGGAGTGAAATATTTAGCATTGAGAGAAATGAGCAAACTATTTTCTTGAGTGGCTGTACCATTTTGCAGTCCCACCTGTAATCAATATCCAGTTGTTCCATGTAGTAGTCAGAATTTGGTATTATCAGTGTTTTTCACTATAGTCATTCTAATAAGTGTATATTAGTATAGCCTAGCATTTTGGTTTCAATTTGCATTTCAATAATGACTAATAAGGTTGAGCAGCTTTTCATATGCTTAGTTGCCATCCATATGACTTCTGTGTTACAGTAAATATTCAATTTTTTTGCCCATATTTTGATTAAATTGTTTGTTTTCTTACTCTTGATTTAAGACTTAGTTATATATTCTGTATATCAAGTTCTTTGCTGGATATGTGACTTGAAATATGTTTTAGAAGTCTTTGGATAACTCAAGGAGACATAGATCTTTCCCTAAGTTTTCCTCTAAAAATTTTAGAGTTTGGCATTTTACAATTTACTGTATAATCCATTTTGAGTACATTTTCTATAAGGCAAACCTTCTGGTACTTTTTTTTCATTGGTAAGTGAATATCCAAATGTTTAATCACCCATTGTTAGAAAGATCATCCTTACTCCATTAACTCGACTTTCTCATTTTCTTAAAAATCCATGAATTATAATTGTTTTTATTGTTCTGTTTCACTGAGCTATGTATCTCTCTTTGTCAATGACATACTGTCTTATCTGTAATAGTTTCATAACAATTATGTTGATTATTATGTCTTTGAATATAAAGATTATAATTAATTTGTATATTTCTATTAAAAATCCTACAGAAGTTTTATTGGGATTGGTATCTTAATTATATTGGCTCTTCCATTCAATGAACACCAGATATTTCTTCATGTACTGTGTCTTACTTGATATCTTTCATTAGCATTTTATAGATTCAACATTTACTAAGCATTTGTTGGTAACTTTATGCCTAACTAATTCATTATTTGAAACTCCTATAAATGGTGCTTTGTCTATGTTCACACGTTGATTAATAGTATATAAAAGCAATATTGACGTTAGTATCTTCATATCATATTCTGCAACCTCAATAAACTCTATTGTAAGTCCTAGGAGCTCTTCTGTACATTATTTGAAACTTTCTATATAGAAAATCTTATCTCCTAGATTAGGGACAGTTTCATTTCTTCCTTTTCAATTTCAGTATGTGTTGTTTCCTTTCCTTGCATCATTGAAATTGTAAAGATTTTTGCACAATATTAAATAGGGCTGGTGAGACTGAACATCTTTGTCTTGGTCATGATCTTAATGAGAAGTATTCTGTTTTTCAATATTAAACATGACGTTAGATGTGGGTTTTATGTAGCCGCCATTTATCACATAAAAGACTTTTTTTATTTATAAGTTTGTGGAAGTATTTTTTTTAAATCATGAATGGTTGTTGTCTTTGCTAACTTCTTTTGTTATCTACTCATATGATCATGGGTTTTTTATTTGTATGCCTGTTGATATGATGGAGTATGTTGATTGATTTTCTGATATTGGTTTTTAATATTTCATTTCCTGAGACTAACTTTATTTGATGATGGTTTATTCTTTGTATTTATTGGTAGATTCAATGTGCTAATACTTTGTTGAGGATTTTGGCATCTATATTTGTGATTGCTCTTTCTTTGGTTTTCTTTTCCTGTACTGTCTTTATCTGGGTTTGGTATTAGGACAATCGGGCATAACAAAATAAATTGATAAATATTCCCTTTTCTTCCACTTTTAGGAAGAGATTTTTATAATATTTGTGTTATTTCTTCTTTAAACATATAGTAGAATTCACCAGTGAAACCATTCAGGTTTGACAATTCTTTAAAAAGGGTTTAACTATGAATTCAATTTTATTATTAGATTCATGACTCCTTAGATTATCTGTCTTCTTAAGAAAGTTTTCTTAGTTCATCTTTTTCAAGAAAATGTTTTATTTCCTTCATGTACAAGTTATGTTGATAGTGTTTATTATTTTTCATTGATATATAATAGTGATACATATTTTGGGGGTACATGTGATATTTTGATACCTGTATACAATGTATAATGACCAAATCAGGATAACTGGTCTATCCTTCACCTCTAACGTATACTTTTATTTCTATTGGGAATATTCTTTTTTTCTAGCTATTTCAAAATATATACTAAATTATTTTTAACTATAGTCTTCCTACTGCATTATCAATTACTATCACTTATTTATTCTATCTAACTGTAATTTTGTACCCATTAAAGAAGTTCTCTTCATTTTTCCCCTCCCCATAGTGTTTTTTTGCAGGATTCCTTTATTACATTTTTAGTGTCTATGGAGTTTATAAAGCCATTTCCTCTTTCATTCTTGACACAAGAACCCTGTCTTTACTCATTTCCTAGTCAAATTGGCTACCATTTAATCAATTTTATTGATGTTTACAAATAACCACCTTTTTATTTATTTTTTTCAAGTGTTTCTGTTTTAATCTGTTTTTGCTATCAGCTTGTATTTTTAGTTCCTTTTTCTGCATTATTTAGGTTTAAATTTCTCTTCTTTTTCTAGATCCTTCAGGTGGAAGTGTGAAGTAGTAATTTTAGAACTTTTTAATAAATGTATTTAATGCTATGTTTTTAATTTGTATTTTTGATGTATTCCACAAATAATGATATAATTTTGTTTTCATTCAGTTCAAAATATTTCTGAATTTATCTTGAGACTTCCTCTTTGACCTAGTGATTATCTAAAAATGTGTAGCTTAATTTTTATGTGTATAGGGATTTTCCAGGTAGCTTTCTGTTATTTATTTCTATTCAGATCTCATTGTAGTGACAAGATAACATTTACAAAATTTAATTTTTTGGTTAAACTGTCAATATATTTTTCTGTGATGCAGAATATGCTCAGTTGTGGCAATTGTTTCATATGCATATAAAAATGTATTCACAGGCTTTTGGGTGAAGGGTTCTATATATGTCAACTATGTCAAGGTATTTGTGGGTATTATTCAAGTTTTTATTTTCTTATTGATTTTCTGTCTACTTCTATCAATCACATTGAGGGAGTGTTTATGTCTCTAACTCTCTTAGTTCATTTGGGTTGCTACAAAAAATATCATAAACTGGGTAGCTTATAAGCAATAAACATTTATTTCTCACAGGTATGGAGGCTGAGAAGTCTAAGATCTGAATTTCTCTAAAAAGAAGAGAAAGTCTGAAAATCTCTGAAAGTCTCAACCTTCTAGTAATATTAGTGATTATGTTTTAACGTATAAATTTAGGGGGAACACATTCATGATTATGCATGTGTACACACACACGTGAACACATATTTCAAAGTTATTTTGTTAAGTGCATGTAATTTATGATTATTATATGTTCTGATGAAATGTTTTTTATCAGTATATAATGTTCTTTTTATCCCTGAAAGTTTTCTTTGTTTTTTATTAGTATGTTATAACTTTTGTCCACTTTATAAATGCTTAATTTATAGATATTCAAACTGAGTTCTCATAAACAGCATGTATTTGGGTGTCTTTGTAACTCAATCTCATTACCTTTGTCTTTAAATTGGTTGTCTTAGATTATTTACATTCAATGTTTTATTAATATGTTTGGATTTAGGCTACTCTTTTATTACATGTTTTCATTTTGTTTCTTCTGTCATCCTCTTTTCTCTGCTCCCTGTTTGATAATATGAATAATTTTTAAAATTGCATTTTAATTTATCTATTAATTTTACTACATCTTTTAAAATGTTTATTTTAGTGGTTTGTATTGGACTTATGATATGTACATATGACTTTTCAACTTCACATCAAGTTGATATTTTATCTTTTCAAGTGATATGTGGGGCCCTTACAATCTTTAAAGTTCCTTTATCTTCCCTCCTTATTCTATAATTGCCACATTATGTATTATATATGGAAAAATTGAAAACCCACCAGTCAATTTTAAATATGTGCTTTTAACTGTCACACACATTTTAAATACCGTACAAGGAGTAAAATAATCTATTATACTTACCCATATATTTACCATTTGTGTTGCTATTTCGTTATTCCTGATTTTTCAACTTTTATTCTGACATTTATTTTTGCCTAAAATATAATCTTATTTCTTTTGAAGCAGTGCTTCTAGAGTCAAATTATCTTAGTTTTACTTTGTTAGAAAATACTTTTATTTCACCATGATTCCTGGAGAACATGTTTGCTTGAAGTAGAATTCCTGGTTGACAATTGTGTGCTTTCAGTATTTAAAAAAATGTATTCAACTTTGCTCACCCTCATGGTTTATGATGAGAAAGCCACAATGATTAGAACTGCTGTTTCCATATTGTTGCATGTCATTTGTCTCTGACTGTTTTCAAGTTTTATTTTTCCTTTTTCTTTGTAAGCAGTTTAATTAGGATATGAACAGATGTGTTTTTCTATGAGCTTATACTCTTTGTTGTTTATAGAGTTTCCTAAATCTGCACACTTTTTTTCTTTCACCAAATTTGGGGAGTTTTCAGATACTATTTCTTCATTTTAAAGGAATGAGGGAATACAAACTTTTTGCTATCTTCACGAGACTATAATGACACAAATATTAGAACTTTTGGTATTATTTTTCACAGGTTTCTGAGTTTTTTTTATTTTTAATATTTTCTCTTCTTATTCTGATTGTTTCTGTTAATTTACATTAAAGGCTGATACAGTGGCTTATACCTGTAATCCCAGAGTGTTGGGAGATGGGAAGATAGCTTGGGCACAGGAGTTTGAGGTTGCAGTGAGTTATGATCATGCCACTGTACTTCAGCCTAGGTGACTGAGAACCTGCCTCTAAATACACACACACACACACACACACACACACACACAGAAACACACACATATATATATATTCAATTTCACTAAATCTTTCCCTCTATAATTTTCAATCAGCTTTTGAGCCATTCAGGCAGTTTTTAGGGTTTTTGATGTATTTCAGTTTTAAAATATCTACCTTTCAAATAATTTATTTTTTTCTTCTGAAATTTTTAATCTTTCAATTTGTTTCAAGAGTTCTCACACTTATTTTATAGAGCTAGGTTATAACTGATTGAAAATTTGTATCTGGTCATTGTGTGTCTGGCAACTGTTTTCTTCTTCTTGAAAGTTGTTGAAAATTTTCTGTTTCTTTATATGTTGCATAATTTTCTATTGTGTCCCGGGTATTCAAAATACTATGTTATTAGTCTCAGGTTCCTGTTAAAATCTTCTGGATAATATTGACTCTTTCCTTTCTTTGTTTGTTTAAACAAATAATCAACCTTCTTTGGTTTGGGCTTCAAGTCCTCTTCTGTTTAATGTGACCTGTGGTTCTGGTGTTAGTTCAGCTTTTAAAGCTTCTGCTTTGTTATTTGGATCTAACTGCTTATATGCCACCCAGGGAACTATCTGAGACATGGAGGTTGATATGCCTTATTGGTCAGTTCTCCAAGTGGTTGGCTTTTGCATCATTTTCACACATGCACAGCTAGGACCTCACACACAGTTCTTCTTCTTGATCCTCTTAACAATTCTCTCTTCTTCATAATCTCCCAACTTCACTTTGTCTCAGAGCATATTCTTCCTTTTCCCTGGCCAGAAAGCCAGGATTTTAAAGTTCTGACACTGTTGCATATCTCCTGTAAGTGTATTTTCCTCTAGGGCAAATTAGTAAACCTGACAACTGCTACCTATTCAACACCATAGGATTTGAAGCTTGAGGACCTCCAGGGCAGGTAGAGTTGGGAGTGAAAAAGAAACAGAAATGTCTACCACCCTTTCTGTTTCCAAGGTTCCCTTTATTACTCCTCCGACCAGAGAAAGAGGGTTTTCCATGGCAACACATTTTGTGCAGTTGCAAATTTAGACTTCTCTGAGGCTAAGAAGGACGTGCAGTTGGGAGTGAGTGACAGAGAGGAAGATAACTACTGTGTTAGTCTTTCATCAAGTTTTTCATCCCAAATCTATCTGCTATATTTACATTTTAGTCCTTGAATAATGTTTTATGTACATTACATAGAATTTTTAGTTGTAATGAATGGAAGAGGCTAGAAGTGTATTTCATCTTAACCATACCAGAATCGTGATGCACTGGCTATATATATATATATATATATATATATATGAATTTCAAACTTGAATTTGAAAATGAATTCTAAACTACAGAAATAAGCAGAAACAGAGAATTCTTACCTCTTTTACCACATTTATGAAGATAAGCTGAATTTATTGATATCTGACCTTTTAGCTCTCACATTTCATTTCAGATTATTGCTAAATGAGATAAAGAATCACAGAGTAATTTCCAAACAAAACTAACTAAAGTGCCACTACCTGGATTTCAAAGATGGTCTTTTACCACCATCACAGCCTGGCCTCCTCAAACAGAGTACCTTTCATATAAAGTGGGAAAAAATTCAAACTGGATACTTCTGTGTCAAATTCTGAAAAAGAACATCCAGTTTCATTATTTTGCAAGCATAAATGCTTATCTTCATAGCAGCAAAACTAATAGATTCTGGTTTTTACCATTTCCTGCATCTTTCAGATGAGACTGCGTGGTACATTGCCAGTTCCCAACCTAGATTACACCCCTTGATGGTTTAACATTTGAGGGAGCTACAGGAGGCCGCCATCAATCTAGTGTTTTATTAAGAAGACAACATATGTGAATTGCTATATAGCAGATGCTGGTATATATGAGGCTCAAATTGTAGAACATTTCTACACTTTTGTTAAAGGGGTAAAAAATGAATAACATAAAGCACAAAAAGTCTAACAATTGTTAAACTGAGCTCTAAAAATAGCAACCCAGTTTGTTCTTCAAAAGCTTCCAGATGCCTTTAATTGGAAAATGTCACCGAAAAATCTTATCCAGACAGCTTTTCCCCTTGTAGTGTAATATCTATCCTAATCATGTAAATAAAAAAAATTCTTGTTATTAATCTATATAAATGATACATTTTCGGTTACAGACCTCAAATGACTTCCCACAAAATTGTGGGAAGTATGATCCAACAGACTTTGTTTTAGAGCTGAAAGCAACCTTAACACTCTCTCATATGTCATGTTATATATTTCCTCTTTCTGATACTCACAGAATGGCATGACTTGACATTCAGATTATTAGCATATTGATGTTATCATTCCAGTTAATAGTAGCATTCATGGAGCATTTACTACATGTGGGAAGTGACCTAAACCCTTTGCATACATTATTTAATTGTCACATTAACGAGATGCAGTAGGTACTATCATTATTCCAACTTTTGAGATAAATTAAGCTTGTGTAAGTTCAGTACATTGCCCTAAAACTCTCAGATAAAAAGTAGCAAAACTAGGATGTGCCTATGCTATCTGTAGGTCTCCAATGTGCATACTCTTAACCACTAAAGTATACTGCCTTTGAATTATTGCAAAGACGTTATGGGCTAATAATAAATTTAACTATTGTCCCACTAATAAAATGTATGAACTTAAACCAAACTATCAGTGGTGAGCCCTAGAAGGCCTGGTCAATTAGGGGAATTTCAAGCAGGTTGGTAGATGATATAAATTGAGTTAGGATATCTTTTGATACCCTTTGCACCATAAATATCTGGCAGTTACAAATTATACATAAAGACAGATGCCATCTTGGCACAAGTATTATGTCAAAACTCAAAAACTGTGTGACATTGTAAAAGGAATCTGCCTCAAATCAGTATTGTTTTCTTTTCTATGAAGAAAAATCAGACATACTTGTGTGATTGGCATGATACACATTTAGTTCAGTATTTATCAAAGAAGTGTGAATTATGACTTACCAATGTGTTCAATAAATACAGTTTAGCTGATGATGTCAACATTAAGAAAAGTAGGAAGAGAAATAAAATAATAATAGAATAAAAATTATCAATGTTCATCGTCAGAGAGTTATTATTTCATAAAATATTTTGTGTTGAATATACTGGTGTTCGGTCAGTACACACTAAAATGGGCTGAACCAGTTGCTACAATAATGAAGTATTTGTTTAATAGTAAAAAGTCAGGGATTCCCTGGCCCCCAGTGGCTTCTCTCCCCTGGACACAGCAACTCCCTTGAGTCCTATAACAAGACCTATCCAGAGCCTACCAGCTAAGGAAGATTTCCTGGGCCAGCAGAGGCCTCTAGCTCTACCACCAGTGACTATTTTGATTGATCAAATGATCAGGCCAAAATAATTGTTAAATATTTTTATATATCCTCATTTACATATATATATATAAATATTTGGATCCTAAATTGAATATCTTACTAAGGAACATGGAATAACAGCAATAAAAACAGCATTTAAATCTCTCAAATTTGTCAATATAGTCTACTTCAGAGATTCTCAACAAGGAATAGTTTGCCCCTTTGGGGAATATTTGACATATCTGGAGACATTTTTAGTTATCACAGTTGGGATGGAAGAGTGGAAGCAGGGGTGTTACTGGCATCCAGTGGTTAAAGGGTAATGGATGCTGCTCAATATCCTACAATGCAACAGGCAGCATCCTCATTACAAAGAATTCTCTGACCCAAAATGTCAATAGTGCCAAGGTTGGGAGACCCTGGTTTATACATAGCAGCAAGCATCCTTTTTTTTTTAATTACATATGTTTAAGGTGTAGAATGTAATGTTTAGATATGTGTGCTGATTTACACATCCATCACCTCACAGTTACCTTTTTTTTTTTGCATGTATAGTGAAAACACTTATAATGTAGTCTCTCTTTGTGTGTGTGTGTTTATTATCTTTAAGTTCTGGGATACATGTGCAGAACGTGCAGGTTTGCTCCATAGGTATACACGTGCCATGGTGGTTTGCTGTACCCATCAACCCATCATCTACATTAGGTATTTCTAATAATGCTATCCTTCCCCTAGACCCCCACCCCCCAGTAGGCCTTAGTGTGTGATGTTCCCCTCCCTGTGTCCATGTGTTCTCATTGTTCAACTCCCACTTATGGGTGAGAATATGCAGTGTCCCTCAAAAGGACAAGAACTCATCCTTTTTTATGGCTGCATCGTATTCCATTGTGTATATGTGCCACATTTTCTTTATCTAGTCTATCATTGATGGGCATTTGGGTTGGTTCCAAGTCTTTGCTATTGTGAATAGTGCTGTAATAAACATACATGTGTGTTTATTGCTATTGTGAATAGTGCTGCAATAAACATAGATTTGTGTTTATATAGTATGTGCAATAAACATACTATAAAGCCACATGTGTGCATGTGCACTTACAGTAGAATGACTTATAATCCTTCGGGTAGATATCTAGTAATGGGATTGCTGGGTCAAATGGTATTTCTTGTTCTAGATCCTTGAGGAATCACCACACTATCTTCCACAATGGTTGAACTAATTCACACTCCCACCAACAGGGTAAAAGCATTCCTATTTCTCTACATTCTCTCTAGCATCTGTTGTTTCCTGACTTTTCAGTGCACCATTCTAATGAGTATGAGATGGTATCTCATTGTGGTTTTGATTTGCATTTTTCTAATGATCAGTGATAATAAGCTTTTTTTCATATGTTTGTTGGCCGCAAAATGTCTTCTTTTGAGAAGTTTCTGTTCATATCCTTTGCCTAATTTTGATGGGTTGTTTATTTTTTTCTTGTAAATTTGTTTAAGTTCCTTGTAGATTCTGGATATTAGCCTTTAGTCAGATGGATAGATTGCAAAAATTTTCTCCCATTTTGTAGGTTGTCTGTTCACTCTCATGATAGTTTCTTTTGCATTGCAGAAACTCTTCAGTTTAATTAGATCCCATTTGTCAATTTTGGCTTTTATTGCAATTGCTTTTGGTGTGTTAGTCATGAAGTTTTTGCCCATGCCTGTGTCCTAAATGGTATTGCCTAGGTTTTCTAGGGTTTTTATGGTTTTAGGTCTCTCATTTAAGTCTTTAATCCATCTTGATTTGATTTTTGTATAAGGTGTATGGAAGGGGTCTAGTTTTATATTTCTGCATATGGCTAGCTGGTTTTCCCAACGCTACTTATTTAATAGGGAATCCTTTCCCCATTGCTGTTTTTGCCAGGTTTGTCAAAGATCAGAGGGTGTAGGTTTGTGATGTTATCTCTGAGGCCTCTGTTCTCTTCCATTGGTCTATATATCTGTTTTGGCACCAGTACCATGCTGTTTTGGTTACTGTAGCCTTGTAGTATAGCTGGAAGTCAGGTAGCATGTTGCCTCTAGCTTTGTTCTTTTTCATTAGGATTGTTTTGGCTATACAGGCTCTTTTTTGGTTCCATATGAAATTTTAAGTATTTTTTTCTAATTCAGTGAAGAAAGTCAATGGTAGCTTGATGGGAATAGCATTGAATCTGTAAGTTACTTTGGGCAATGTGCCATTTTCATGATATTGATTATTCTTATCCATGAGCATGGAATGTTTTTTCATTTCTTTGTGTCCTCTCTTATTTCCTTGAGCAGTGGTTTGTAGTTTTCCTTGAAGAGGTCCTTCCCATCCCTTGTAAGTTGTATTCCTAGGTATTTTATTCTATTTGTAGCAATTGTGAATGGGAGTTCACTCATGATTTGGCTGTTTGTCTATTATTGGTGTATAGGAACGCTTGTGATTTTTGCACATTGATTTTGTATCCTGAGACTTTACTGAAGTTGCTTACCAGCTTAAAAAGATTTTGGGCTGAGACGATGGGGATTTCTAAATATATAATTATGCATCTGCAAACAGAGACAATTTGACTTCCTCTCTTCCTATTTGAATATGCTTTATTTCTTTCTCTTGCCTGATTGCCCTGGCCAGAACTTTCAATACTATGTTGAATAGGAGTGGTGAGAAAATGCATCCTTGTCTTGTGTCAGTTTTCAAAGGGAATGCTTCCAGTTTTGCCCATTTAGTGTGATATTGGCTTTGGGTTTGTCATAAATAGATCTTACTATCTTGAGATACATTCCATCAATACCTGGTTTATTGAGAGGTTTTAGCATGAAGAGGTATTGAATTTTATCGAAGGCCTTTTCTGCATCGATTGAGATAAATCATGTGGTTTTTGTCATTGGTTCTGTTTATTGATTTGCATATGTTGAACCAGCCTTGCATCCCACGGATGAAGCCGACTTGATCATGCTGGATAAGCTTTTTGATGTGCTGCTGGATTCAGTTTGCCAGTATTTTATTGAGAATTTTCACATCGATGTTCGTCAGGGGTATTTGCCTGAAATTTTCTTTTTTGGTTGTGTCTCTGCCAGGTTTTGGTATCAGGACGATGCTGGCCTCATACAATGAATTAGGGAGGAGTCCCTCTTTTTCTATTGTTTGGAATTGTTTCAGCAGGAATGGTACCAGCTCCTCTTTGTCCCTCTAGTAGAATTCAGCTGTGAATCCATCTGGTCCTGGGCTTTTTTTTGGTTGGTAGGCTAATAATTACTGCCTCAATTTCAGAATTTGTTATTGGTCTAGTCAAGGATTCGACTTCTTCCTGGTTTAGTCTTGAGAGGGTGTATGTGTCCAGGAATTTATCCATTTTTTTCTAGATTTTCTAGTTTATTTGCATAGAGGTGTTTATAGTATTCTCTGATGGTAGTTTGTATTTCTGTAGGATCAGTGGTGATATCCCCTTTATCATTTTTTAGTGTGTCAGTTTGACTCTTCTGTCTTTTCTTCTTTATTAATATAACTAGTGGTCTATTTTGTTAATCTTTTCAAAAAACCAGCTCCTCGATTCACTGATTTTTTTTTTTTGGAAGGGCTTTTTTGTGTCTCTATCTCTTTCACTTCTGCTCTGATCTTAGTTATTTCTTGTCTTCTGCTAGCTTTTGAATTTGTTTATTCTTGCTTCTCTAGTTGTTTTAATTGTGATGTTATGGTTTCGATTTTAGATCTTTCCCACTTTCTCCTGTGGGCATTTAGTGCTATAAATTTCCCTCTAAACACCATTTTTTTATATATAACATCCTAGGATTATGATTCTAAACCCATCATCATAAATGGATTTTTAAATTTTCTACATGTTCTAAATTATTTCACTTGATCAAGCTGTTTACTCAATGTAGACAATTCTGTTTTGCAGCTCTGGTTTTTAATTTTATTTTTCTGATCGTGAAAGGCCTTTCTTCTTGTTTCACTTTTGATAAGCAGGATAGTTCCCACAATATTATAGTTATCATAATATCATTGATTTCAAAGGAATGTTCATCATCACCTGGATGAGGAGTGAATTTGTTTTCCTGATAAGAACAGTGAATAACCATGTCAAGATCAATCTTCTACCTGCTGCTGTGTTTACAGGCTGTGAATTATTGTGCAAACATTAGAAAATTGCCAGTAGATAACTCCTTTATGTCATATACATAGTGATATTAATTTTAACATAAACACTGCAAGGCTATTTTATTGAATTGTACAATATCCATTTAAATGTGTTTTGTAATATATTTCTTCTGCAAAGAATTGAGATGAGCAGCAAATTTCAAAAGGTATATTAGTTTCTCGTATTTGACAGCTCTGTTGTTTTTGACTTTGTTCTTGTTATCAATGTTTCTTTTGACTTAAAAAAAAAATACCACAAATGTGTGTGGTGAAAATATAAAATACTTTTTAAAAGTTGAAGAATTTCATTTTCTTTACAAAAATAGGCTTATACTATTAAAATGCATTTTGAATCTTACTTTTTGACTTAATAAATTCTGGAGATTTTTTGAAATCAGCATGTATACTTCTATCTTACTTTCAAAAGTGACTATGTTATAATTTAGCCATGAGCTACCCAGAGTATCATTGTACTATAATTTTTCATAATTTAATAAGCCATATATTTTACTGATGGATATTTGGCTCTCTTAATATCTGTCTCCCCTATTATAAACAATGCTTCATTGAACATAATTTTAGATTTATGTTTCTATATTTTTTCTGGATACCTATAAATTTCTAGTAATAAAATCAATATGCCAAATTGCATGTGCACTTTAAATTTTGATAGAAATTGGCAAATATGATTTTTGACATCAACTTGCATCAAAATTAATAATACTAGAGAAAGAACATGTTTTTGGGGTCAAGTTAAAGAAAAGATTAAGAATAGGTTGCTTTCCCCAGGGGCTTTCATTATGGTTTGAATGTATCTCTCAAAATGCATGTGTTGCAAACAATCTCCAATGCAAGCCTGAGGCTGAATTCATACTCTTTCTTGCCCCTCTTGCCCTTCTGCCTTCTGCCATTAAAGACTAATACCAGATGCCAGCACCATGCTCTCAGATTTCCCAGCCTCCAGAACCAGGAAACAAATAAATGTTGACTTACTATAAATTAACCAATCTCAGCTTTTTTGCTATAGTAGCACCAAATAGACTAAGACAGCCTAGAAGAAAAGCTTAAGAATAGGTGGGGTAAATTATAATAGTCAAAGAAGATAAAAATTATCCTTGGGAACTTCTTAATAGATATAAATTTTATAATTTTATGATCTGGCATATCTGTTTTCTACTTTGCACTTCTTTACATACTGAGATGAACTATACCTTCTTTTTAAATAAGACATATTTTTGTTCATTATTTTGTTATTAATAAATAGCATTAAACAGAAGGACCATTTACTATAATCACATGCTACAAGGTAAGATTCACTTATTTGAGTATGATTTCCATTTATAATATAAACCATTAAACCATAACCTGGACACCAATATTCTCTATTTGGCAGCTTAACCAAACTACACCAATAATATGCAGGAAGAAATGAACAGGCTCAAATATGCCAGCCTATTAAGTGATAACAAACAGTAATCAGTAATTAAATATTTTCTTTTCAAACTTCAGTGATAACCTAACAATTCACTTTTAATTTTATTAAATATTGATTATTATAAGGTTTGTTTTTAATAAAAACAGTTTTTTTCAATTTGGCCTGTAAGAGATGTGTATTGGAAACTACAAGAAGAAGAAAATAAGAGTGCTGTTTTTTTCCCCTCTTCTTTGACTCAGTTGACAATGTTTTGGTGACTATGTTTAATCCTAATTTGTTACAAGACTATAAATCTTGTGACAAAGTTAGCAGTCCAAATCAAGTATAGCAAGACAATTATGGACCAAGGTCTGAGAGTTACATCTTTTCTAAACATTAATGAAAGCTACAAATATATTGAGACTTAAGGAGAGAAAATTTTTCTATCAAAAGCAACGGGACTACAGAATGACTCCCTGAGTGATGTTTATCAAGATATATATATATTTTTATTTGATGTCACAGAACCAATTTGTTTTTGCAAGATTTATGAATAAGGCTTGTATTGTCCTTGAATTGTTCTATTTCTTTCTTAAACCTGTTTTCTTCTTCTCTTGCATTCTAATTTAAGCACTGTGTTTTCAGGGTTTGATTGTTGTTCCTTAGCAGCTCTTTAAAATTGTATATATTTGTTGAAGCAGTCCAGAGTTATTCCTCACTGTCTTCCAATACTTTTTTAATGATGTATTTTCTACTGAAATCTTTCAGATGGCAGCAGCTTTATTACTCTAAATTTTATGTTCTGTGTCTAGTCTTGTATCTTTTGCCAGGTGGCAACTTACCAACTATAGCTCCACTGAGCATTACAAACTGTTCACATTTCTAGACTATAAGAACAAATTATGAGGTATGACTTATAAAAGTTTTGTTGTAAACTGGCATCTTGATGATTCTGAAAATAGAGATCAAGTTAAAATCATATTAAATGTCATTTTTTTTAGGATAGTGTGATTTTGTTAAGGTTAAAATTACAAGTTGAATCATAATAATGTTATATGCCATTAAAATAATAACTATTACAAATATCTTAGACTGTGCAATTTTGGTTAAAGAAGAAAGCTTTTTTATAAAGTGGAAAAGGAATGGAATAAGATATATTAGAAATACAAATTAAAATTAAGATGTTTGCTAGAAGATGCAATTACTTTTATTCTTTTTTTGCTAGTATTATTAAAATATTCTTAATAAAAATATATGTACTGTAATAAAACAGTACTGTTTAATATGAACTGGGAAATTTGTAACATTTTAGCAAACATGGAGTCAATTTACAATAAAAAACAGATTGATAACTGAGGGTAAATGTGCTTTTATGTGAGAATTTACAAATAGAATGTTCCTGAAATTTGTCAAAGGTGAGTGAATAAATATAAGAAAAAGAAATATGTATAATATAACATACTTAATGTTTGGGGCACACTGTTTTTGTTTTGACAAAAAGTGTCTTTTAAGAATTATGCAAAGTATTTGGAGCCAAGATGGCCAACAATATGCATCCAGGAAGAACGTCTCCCACTGAGAGAGAAGCACATCAGGAAGCTTGGTATATTCCAAGAAGATCCTTGCAGGAAGCCATTGAGAGTAGATGGGGGAGGATTTAGACACTGGGCTGAAGTGGGAGGAAGCTGCGAGCCCTGCACATGGCTACCATGCACAGGGACTAGCCCCCAGTGGCTCCTGGGGTAGGGGTAAGTTCAACAGGCAAGAAGTGGCCTGCTTTCAACACAGACCTCCAGAATCCTAGCTGCAGGAAACCCCACAATCCATACAGACACTTGGGGTGGCAGAGAGAGCAGCTTGGAGAGTAGCAGGGGCAGGACTCTAACTTGTGAGAGACCAGAGGGTTTGGTGTGGGAAAGGCTACAGTGGAGACTGACCTTGAATGCTCATCCCTCAAAGTTTACCACAGTCCTCTAGATGTGTTTGTCTTTTGTTGACTGTCAGTCCTGGACAAAGCAGGCCTTCCCCATGACACAGGAGCAGTTCAATCTTAGTGCCCCCCCGTCTGCTGAGCACTCCTCAGGCCCCATTCTGGCTGCACTTGCTTGCAGCACAGCCTTGGAAGCCCAACCATGGTGCTTCCTGAGGACCATTATCATAGCTCCTTTGCCAGGAGGACATGCCTAACTATTGGAGAGCTCCAGCAGATCAACATCTGTTGATGTGTGCCCACCCATCCACAGCCTCCCCCACCGCAGAGTCCCCACACTGCTTTGGCAGCACTCACTTACCCATGGCCTCCCTGCTACAGCTTTGCTGGCATGCACACGAGTGGGCTTTGCCTCCTCTCTCCTTCTGGTATGCACAAGTGTGCACCCCACCACCCCACCACCATTGGTGTGAGGGCATGCACAGACACTGCTGCCCTGACTCTGCTGGCACCCCAACCCCACTAACATGCAGGGACCCCAACAAATAGCTGTTGCTGCTGGCACATGCAATTGAGCACCTATCCTGCTGCCACAAACCCACTGAAGTGCTTTGGCTGGCACCCCCCATCAGAGTGTTGTTACCAGCAGACTAGAAACACCTTGGCCCCTCAAGGTTCCTAACCTTGAGGATCCAGAGAACAATACCAGAGGCCCGATACCAGCCCCCCAGGGCTGGAACACATAACCCAGGAGTACTGAGTTGAGGCTTGGCTCCTTAAAAAATTCCAGAAAGCAAGCCCATTTACTGAACACATCTTATGCCACAATCAAACTCTCAAGGGCATCAAAGAACATAAAAGCAAAAAACTACATCCAAAGGACAGAAACTTCAAAGATTAGAGGAACATCAGCCCACACAGGTGAGAAAAAACCAGTGCAATAACTCTGGCAACTTGAAAAGCCACAGTGTCTTCTTACCTCCAAATGATCACACTAGTTCTCCCGCAATGATCCTTAACCAGGATGAAATGGCTGAAATGATAGGTGTAGAATTCAGAATCTAGATAAGATCAAAGATAATTGAAAGGAGAAAGTTGAAAATCAATCCATGGAATCTAAGGAATCCAGTAAAATGATACAGGAGCTGAAAGATGAAATAACCATTTTAAGAAAGAACCAAAATGATCTGATAGAGCTGAAAAGCTCACTACAAGAATTTCAGAATAAAGTCATAAGTATTAACAACAGAATAGACCAAGCTGAGGAAAGAATCTCAGAACCTGAAGACCAGTTCCTCAAATCAACTCAGTCAGACAAAAACAGAGAAAATGTAATAAGAAAAAATAAACAAAATCTTTGAGAAACATGGGATTACATAAAGAGACCATATGTATGACTTGCTGGTGTCCTTGAAAAAGAGAGAGAGAAAGCAAGTGACTTGGAAAACACATTTGAGGATGCAGTCCATGAAAATTTCTCCAACCTCACTAGAGAGTCAACACTTAAATTCAGGAAATGAAGAGAACCTCTGAGAACCCATAGCATGACCATTCCCAAGAAACATAGTCATCAGATTCTCCAAGGTCAATTTTAAGTCAGCTAGAGAGAAGGAGCAGGTCACCTACAAAGGAAACCCCAGATCTTTCAGCTGGAAACTCTATAAGCCAGAAGAAACTTGAAGCCTATACTAAGCATTCTTAAAGAAAAGAAATTACAACCAAGAATTTCATATCCAGCTAAACTAAGTTTCATAAGTGAAGGAGAAATAAGATCCTTTTCAGACAAGTAAATGCTAAGGGAATTTATTACCACCAAACTTGCTTTATAAAAGGTACTTAAGGAGTGCTAAATATGGAAATAAAAGAGTTATTGGCCACCACAAAAACACACTTAAGTGCATAAACCAGTGACGCTATAAAACAACTATACAATCAAGCTAACAACATAAGGATAGGATCAAATCCACACATATCAATGTTAATGTTGAATGCAAACGGGCTATATGCCCCAATTAAAAGGCGCAGAGCGGCAAGCTGGATAAAAAACCAAGACTGAACTGTACACTGTCTTCAAGAGACCCATCTCACATGCAATGACACCTGTAGGTGAAAAGTAAAGGGATGGAGAAAAATCTAAACAAATGAAAAACAAAAAAGCAAGGGTTACTATTCTAATTCCAGACAAAACTGATTGAAAACCAACAATGACTTTTTAAAAGACAAAACAGGGCATTATCTGATGGACAAGGGTTCCGTTCAGCAAGAGGACTTAACTATTCTAAGTATATATGCACCCAACACAGGAGCACCCAGATTCATAAAACAAGCTCTTAGAGACCTATGAAGAGACTTAGATAACCACACAATAATAGTGGGAGAACCCTTTCTTACACCATAAATAAAAATCAACACAAGATGGATTAAGACTTAAATGTAAGACCTAAAACTATAAAAACCATGGAACATAATCTAGAAAATAGAATTCTGATCATAGGACCTGGCAAAGATTTCAGGATAAAAATGCCAAAAGCAATTGCAACAGAAAGAACAATTGACAAACAGGACCTAATTTACCTAAACAGCTTCTGCACAGCAAAAGGAACTGTCAATAAACAGACAACCTACAGAATGGGAGAAAATATTTTGAAATTATACATCCAAGAAAGGTCTAATGCCCAGAATCTGTAAGAAACTTAAAAAATTTGCAAGCAAAAGTCAAACAACCTCATTAAAAAGTGGGCAAAGTACACGAACAGACAATTTTCAAAGGAGGACATACACACAGCCAACTTGTATAGAAAAAAAATGCTCAACATCACTAATAATTAGAGAAATGCAAATCAAAACTATAATGAGATACTATCTCACACCATCAGAATGACTATCATTAAAAAGTCAGAAAATAAAAGATGCTGGTGAGATTGTCAGGAAAAGGAAACACTTAGTCACAGCTGGTGGAAATGTAAATTTGTTCATCCATTGTGGAAAACGGTATGGCAATTTCTCAAATAAGTTAAAACAGAATTACCACGTGACCCAGCAATCCCATTTTTGGGTATATACCCAAAGGAATATAAATAATTTTACCCTAAAGACACATGCAAGCATATGTTCATCACAGCACTATCCACAAAAGCAAATACATGGAATCAACCTAAATATCTATCAACAGTAGACTGGGTTAAAAAAGTGGTACATACACACTACAGAATACTATGCAGCCATAAAAAAAGAATAAGATCGTGTCCTTTGCAGCAACATGGATGGAGCTGGAGCCCATTATGCTAAGCAAACTCACACAGGAACAGAGAACCAAATACTACATGTTCTCACTTATAAGTGGGAGGTAAAGTTTGAGTACATATGAACACCAAGAAGGGAACAACAAACTGGAGCCTACTTGAGGGTGAGGATCAAAAACAAATCGGGTACTATGCTTATTACCTGCATGAGAAAATAATCTATACACCAAACCCCATGACATGCAACTTATCTATATAACAAATGTGCACAGGTGCCCCTGAACCTAAAATAATAGCTAAATAAATAAAAATTTAAAAATAATGTGAAGAAAATGATAAAAATAATAAAATGTGAATAAAATGATAAAACAAATGTAGATAATGATCCTCCTGGCCCCTGGGGTGAAGCAATCAGTGAAGGTGCCCAGGGTGTTCATTCTGTAGTATTTGAACTTACAACCTTTGTTTTGTATATATTTGCCTATTATAGATTTACTGTACCTTTCTAAATGTTTGAAACCTAACATATTTGACATGAAGAAATCTCTTATCTCTAACAGGCTTTAAAAATATAAAAAGAAAAAAATGTGTTCCATATACACCATGAAATACTGTGCAGGTATAAAAAAAAAGAATAAGATCATGTCCTTTGCAGCAACACAGATGGAACTGGAGACCTTACCCTAAGTGAACTAATGCAGGAACAGAAAATGAAATACTGGATGTTCTCAGAAGTGGGAGATAAACATGGAGTACGCATGGACACGAAGAAGAGAACAATAGATACTAGGGCTTATTGAGTGTGGAGGGTGGGAGGAGGGTAAGGATCAAAAAACTACCTATTGGGTGCTATGCTTACTACCTGGGTGATGAAATAATTTGACATCAAGCTCCCGTGACATGAAATTTACCTATATATCAAACCTGCCCATGTACCCCTGAACCTAAACTAAAACAAAAGTGTCTTGCAAATTATTTATAAAATAAATCTATATAATAAATAAAAAGAAGCCAAATTAAATAGAGCAACCAAGAGTAGTGAATATCAGTTTTATGGCCAGCTACCTGGAACCTAGAATTGCTAAAAGTTAGATAGGAGATTGAAGGAATGAATAAGCAGAGCAGGAAGAACACCAGTAAACACTCATACCTAGATTTTAGGTTCCCCTGCTATTCCAAGAGCATTTTGCCTATAAGCAGATACTGAGCTGATTCAGGCAATAACCCTAGAAATAAGGCATTTCTTTTAAGTTTTATAATTAATCAACCTACCAGTCTGTCATTCTGTATCAGAACAAATAAATACCAAGACCTGTGTGTGTCATGGGTCTGCCACTTACCTGTAACCTAAACTCTTTAACTTCCAATTTACTCATCTACAAAATGGGAGTCCTGATAATAGGTTAACTACTTGAAGTTTTATGAAAATTAAATGACATGATATCTGCAAAGATTTTGTTTAGCTTTTTATTTAACAGTTAAGAAGCACTTAGTAAATATGAGCTAATACTTGCAGTCTACTATATGCTGAACCATGACCCAAGTTCTTAGTGCTATGAGCAGGAGGAGAGCAGTAAATGCAAAATGAATTTATTAATTTATGAATCAATTTACTTTACTTTTTGACTAACTTCATACTCTATTCTGGTCTGAGTATACAAGGCTAGTAAGAATGAAACACTACTCCAGCCCCTAAATATCTTAATGAAGGTAGGTTTCCACTTTTATTCAATCCCCTTTGAACTATATCTTTCTGTAATCATAACAGTTAAGACTTTTAAAATAGCTACCTTCTCTGCTGTTAATATCTAATACCAGGTTATGAATTGTCTTGGTGTCTTTGCCACCAGGAACAGGAGCTTAATATTAGACTTTATTAGAATCAACTCCTCTAAGCACTAGGACGTTTATGACCCTGTGCCGTGGAATCAATTATTCAGCCTCCAAAGAACTGTGCTTGATATCATTGACCTGATACTTTACAGTTAGCAAGATTCGTGATAAGGGATCTTCCTGTCTTCAAACTGAGACCTTTCTTCTCAAGTAGATAGCTTCAAAGACTGCCCCTTCTCAAGGAACATCTTGGTTTAGATGTTTAATACAGTTATCCCTTATTTACTTTCTCTGAGTGTCATAATCATTGGCACCCTCTAACTTTAATTCCTTCAGATTCTTACTGGTAAGTATATAACATAATTACAAAACAAATCTTGAGTTCAAAATATGCCTTCAGTAAGTACGGTTACAAAATTTCTCTCCTAAGAACTTTAAACAGGAACACCACAAATCACAAATAAATTGTACTCATTGCATTATAGAAACATCACTTGTGTAATTCCAGGTGTTCGTGGATTTTTTTTCCTTGTTGAGGATGTCAGAATGAAGTTGCTGGCTCAGAGTCACAAGAAAGAATGCCCACCTCTTGAAGATTTTCCACTGAACCTGAAAATAACTATGAAGCCAGGCTCAAACTCACCCAATGTATCATTCTACAAATGTACTCAATTCATGGTTCTTACTCACAAAATCCTAGGCTAATTTTGTGTTTCTTGTAGTGTCTTTCTGTGCTTAGCTTTTTTAGCCCCTGCATTTAGTTAAAAACTCATCGTGCTTCTAGAACAGTCATGTTACTGATTCCAACCAGGAAAAGACAAAGTTGGTCCTGCATAATATTTACCTAAGAATAATGTAATATCCTTGTCTCTGAAACCTAAAACTGTTGGTGAATGGTGGCATAACAGAGGAGTTAATTTGCAGTGGCTTGTGAACTATAATAGAAATAGTGCCAATGATGCTCCCAAAAGATAAGGGACAAACAAGGGTTTCGAGGATGGAGAGTGTTCAAAGGAGGGAAAAACTTCCCATTTAATGAAATAAGAAATTTCACCTGTAATTTGTATTTTTAATCAAAATATAAATATCATGTGAGAAAAAGGTGCTTTGGGGAAGTAAACAAGAGCATGCCAAGATGATGAGGATCCAAATTAAATATTAAGTGTGATGGTTTGATTTGAGTCCCTCCTTCCCTCCATCCCTTCCTCCCTTCCTCCATTCCTTCCTTCCTTCCTTCTGTGCTCTGGAGATGTGTGACATTTCAAGTGCTGTATAGAAAGATGGGGGAAAATAATATCTTAAAAAAATTTTCTGCCAGGTGTGGCTCATGCCTGAAATCCCAGCACTTTGGGAGGCCAAGGTGGGCATATCACCTGAGGTCAAGGGTTCAAGTTCAGCCTGGCCAACATGGTGAAACCCCGTCTCTACTAAAAATACAAAAAAATTAGGCAAGTGTGGTGGCATGTGCCTGTAATCCAAGCTACTCAGGAGGCTGAGGCACGAGAATATCACTTGAAACCAGCAGGCGGAGGTTGCAGTGAGCCAAGATCGCGCCACTGCACTCTAGTCTGGGCGACAGAGTGAGACTCTGTCCCCAAAAAAAAAAAAAAAAAAATTTACACTTGGGGGAAAATAACCCTGAGGATCTTAAGAAGTTATTTATGGTAAAATTATTATGTGCAATTTCTCATTATTGCCAATGTACCTGATGGTTATGTTTCTTTAGAAATACCAACTACATTTGGTACAGGGCAGGAAACCCCAAAGTAGGACTTAGCCTTTGAGGGTTGTTGGCCTTGCCCAGGAATTTCAAATTCAAGGGTGAGCTGGTGGTAGGACAGAAGAAAACAGCTTTGTTGAAGCAGCAGTGTTACAGTACCTGTAGTTTTACAGCTTCGTGACTGCTTCTGCAGAGCAGGGCTACTCCATGAGCAGTGTGCTGGGAGTAGCAGCTCAGGGCAGTTTTAGCCATATTTCTACCTACTTTTAATTACATGTAGATTAAAGGGTGGTTTATGTGGAAATTTTTAGGAGAAGGGTAGTAACATGTGGATCCTAGGGTCATCACCATGGGAAGGGGTGGTAACACCTAGGTGTTGCCATGGCAATGGTAAACTGACATGGCCCACTGGTGGGTGGGTTTTATGGGAAGTAACTTCTGCTCCACACTCCATTCTTATTTTAGCTAGTCCTCAATTCGGTCCTATCCTAGCCCTGCCTCTGCAGTTGGGTCCCACCTCCTACCTGACATTTATCATTTCAGGAACTAAACTTTTCCCTCTTTCAACTCATACATTGTAAGCAATTTAATTTGTTTTCCTTAACAAATATGCCTGAGCTTCTAATTTGTATTTTTAGTATCTGGAGGCAAATCTACAAATATCTGAGATATATGTTTGCTGAGAATAATTATTAGTTTACTTTTTATTAGTAGGGAATGGAAAAGAAATCAACAAGTATAGGAAAATTATCCAAAACTGAAAATAAATAACATGTTGATTTTTGTGACTTCAATATTTTGCTAGATTATTTTTTAATAAGCACATCTGAGAGTTATTTGATGGTTGCAGAAAATGTAACTTCTTTCACACTATATTTCTAAAATCCTTTCCAAAACATCACTTGCATGTTGCTTATTCTCTCATTAATGACTCTAATAAGGCTGGTTCAATATACGCAAATCAATAAATGTAATCCAGCATATAAACAGAACCAAAGACAAAAACCACATGATTATCTCAATAGATGCAGAAAAGGCCTTTGACAAAATTCAACAACCCTTCATGCTAAAAACTCTCAATAAATTAGGTATTGATGGGACGTATCTCAAAATAATAAGAGCTATCTATGACAAACCCACAGCCAATATCATACCGAATGGGCAAAAACTGGAAGCATTACCTTTGAAAACTGGCACAAGACAGGGATGCCCTCTCTCACCACTCCTATTCAACATAGTGTTGGAAGTTCTGGCCAGGGCAATCAGGCAGGAGAAGGAAATAAAGGGTATTCAATTAGGAAAAGAGGAAGTCAAATTGTCCCTGTTTGCAGAAGACATGATTGTATATCTAGAAAACCCCATTGTCTCAGCCCAAAATCTCCTTAAGCTGATAAGCAACTTCAGCAAAATCTCAGGATACAAACTCAATGTACAAAAATCACAAGCATTCTTATACACCAATAACAGACAAACAGAGAGCCAAATCATGACTGAACTCCCATTCACAATTGCTACAAAGATAATAAAATACCTAGGAATCCAACTTACAAGGGATGTGAAGGACCTCTTCAAGGAGAACTACAAACCACTGCTCAAGGAAATAAAAGAGGATACAAACAAATGGAAGAACATTCCATGCTCATGGGTAGAATCAATATCGTGAAAATGGCCCTACTGCCCAAGGTAATTTATAGATTCAATGCCATCCCCATCAAGCTACCAATGACTTTCTTCACAGAACTGGAAAAAACTACTTTAAAGTTCATATGGAACCAAAAAAGAGCCCGCATCGCCAAGTCAATCCTAAGCCAAAAGAACAAAGCTGGAGGCATCATGCTACCTGACTTCAAACTATACTACAAGGCTACAGTAACCAAAACAGCATGGTACTGGTACCAAAACAGAGATATAGATCAATGGAACAGAACAGAGCCCTCAGAAATAACGCCACATATCTACAAATATCTGATCTTTGACAAACATGACAAAAACAAGCAATGGGGAAAGGATTCCCTATTTAATAAATGGTGCTGGGAAAACTGGCTAGCCAAATGTAGAAAGCTGAAACTGGATCCTTTCCTTACACCTTATAGAAAAATCAATTCAAGATGGATTAAAGACTTAAACGTTAGACCTAAAACCATAAAAACCCTAGAAGAAAACCTAGGCATTACCATCCAGGATATAGGCATGGGCAAGGACTTCATGGCTAAAACACCAAAAGCAATGGCAACAAAAGCCAAAATTGACAAATGGGATCTAATTAAACTGAAGAGCTTCTGCACAGCAAAAGAAACTACCATCGGAGTGAACAGGCAACCCACAAAATGGGAGAAAATTTTTGCAACCTACGCATCTGACAAAGGGCTAATATCCAGAATCTACAATGAACTCAAACAAATTTACAAGAAAAAAACAAACAACCCCATCAACAAGTGGGCAAAGGACATGAACAGACACTTCTCAAAAGAAGACATTTATGCAGCCAAAAAACACAGAAAAAATGCTCACCATCACTGGCCATCAGAGAAATGCAAATCAAAACCACAATGAGATACCATCTCACACCAGTTAGAATGGCAATCATTAAAAAGTCAGGAAACAACAGGTGCTGGAGAGGATGTGGAGAAATAGGAAAACTTTTACACTGTTGGTGGGACTGTAAACTAGTTCAACCATTGTGGAAGTCAGTGTGGCGATTCCTCAGAGATCTAGAGCTAGAAATACCATTTGACCCAGCCATCCCATTACTGGGTATATACCCAAAGGACTATAAATCATGCTGCTATAAAGACACATGCACACGTATGTTTATTGTGGCACTATTCACAATAGCAAAGACTTGGAACCCAAATGTCCAACAATGATAGACTGGATTAAGAAAATGTGGCACATATACACCATGGAATACTATGCAGCCATAAAAAATGATGAGTTCATGTCCTTTGTAGGGACATGGATGAAATTGGAAATCATCATTCTCAGTAAACTATCGCAAGAACAAAAAACCAAACACCACATATTCTCACTCATAGGTGGGAATTGAACAATGAGAACACATGGACACAGGAAGGTGAACATCACACTCTGGGGACTGTTGTGGGGTGGAGGGAGAGGGGAGGGATAGCATTAGGAGATATACCTAATGCTAGTGACGAGTTAGTGGGTGCAGCACACCAGCATGTCATGTGTATACATATGTAACTAACCTGCACATTGTGCACATGTACCCTAAAACTTAAAGTAGAATAAAAAAAAAAAAAAGAACCAATAAAAAAAAACAAACTTTGGCACATATTTATTTTCTATTTGCGTAACACTTATGTGTTAACAATTTGAAAATTGCCCTTTCCTGTCTTAAATATTTAAATGTTCTGGGTGAGTACACAAAGTTTTTAGAGAAAATAGCTGGTTCACATAAACAACAAAATCTGTATTTTCATAATTTCACATTCATTTGGAGAAACAGAGGAGTTAAGCTATGATTTTTTAAAGTGTTTTTGAATATGAATTTAGTATATTGGGATCTATTTTTTCAAATCTTTGGTCTTATTTAGGTAATCGAGATTAAAATTCTCCTGCTTCTAGATCACTTTGGATCACACAGCAGCGTATAATGACACACACACATCTAACACCTGCTGGCATCTATCTGGTACATAGCAGATATATTGCAAATATTAGGTTTAAAAATTATCAGATAGAGGTAAAAATAACTAAAGATTAAAACATTATTAAATAGTGGTAAAAATAATTAGGAATTTTTATTCCACCACCTTTTATAAGGAACTTGGTTGAGGAATGTTGGTTGAGAGAAGCAGTTCCTCCAGTTTCCTCCCATGGTAAAATCTGCCATGTATTGTTAATTACTCAATGCCTCCCTAATTTGAAGAACATGTAAGTCTCAGTCCTGAGGGACTGGCTGAGTCAAAGGTGTTGGGCAACCACAAATCACCACAGTGTTGGACTCCCTACAACCACAGGGGCCACCCTAAGTCAATTCTGAATTATGGGAAAATGAGTTCATTAATCATCGTTACACTTTCTGTGGAAAGAATCTGTTGATAAGGCGCATTCCTGCCTGAGCTAACTCAATCATCATTATAAATAAGGTCCCTGACTGCAGCAACTATATCTTGGGACAGGGGAATCAACTAAAGAAACACAAAAGGCGAAGCCATGATAGCATAGCCAGGAAGAGGAAAATTATGAAATCAAGTGGCCAGTTAAGAGAGGAATATTGTCACTTACCTCCAGTCAATTTCACAGTTATTTGAGAAGTTGAGGGCTTTAACCTCTATCCCTTTGCTTACATGCATTTTAAAGTTTTCTTTACTGCATTTAATTAGCAGTGTTTCAATGTCAAGTTACAGTAATTTACTTCAAAACACTTTGAAACAAAAAGGGACTTTGTGTGCCCGTTTCACAGACTATCAAAGGAAAGCTCATCAAACACACTTGAATTCATGAGTTTGAACAGTGTTAACTTGTCTTTCTTTCCATAGACAAGAGACTGTTTTCAGACACAAGAGACTCAGTCTCTCGTGACTGAGACAGGAGGGCAGGAGAAGCTCAGACAGAAACATTTGCTTCTAGGGCTGCTTCAATTTGGGGTATGTTTTGCTGAGCCCCAACACTGTCACACATCAATACTAGAAAAGTAGTACTGTCCATGGCTCCCTGAGGAGAGAACAACTGGAAGATCTCTCTGCATTTGGGACTTTCTTGGATTCTGCCCTATGGTACTTTTCTCTTAGCTGATTTTAATCTGTACCGTTTAGCTGTGATAACACTTTAGCATGAGTGAACAGCTTTCAGTGAGTTCAGTAAGGCTTTCTTGCTAATTATTGAACTTATGAGTGGTTTGGGGGAACTCCAAACTTGCAAATAATGTCAGAAATGACAACGGTCTTGTAAACTGTGCTCCAACTTCTCAGGTTTTTACTTAGAAAATGGCACCACAGTGAATTACATTTTGTTTGCTCCAATTCTTCTCCTTCTCATCTCCTATCATTCCCCTTGCTCTAAACTTTACACATATACAAACCTATATATCATTCCCCTATATATCATTCCCCTTTATATCATACCCCTATATATCATTCCCCTTGCCCTAAACTTTACACATATACAAACCTATATATGTTTCTTATGAGTTAGCTTAATGCTAGTTTTTGTTATAAATAAATCCCAAAACTGAATAATGGTTCAAACACGGTAGGAGTTTGCTTCTTGTTTTTACAAATGTTCCAGATGAGATAATTGACATGAGTTGTTTCTGTCTTCAACTTGTGGTTTTCAAGAGCCATGTGCCCATTTATCCACTCAGGAGAAAGCACAAAGGACAGCACATGGGAAACGTTGAGTGGTGTGGGCCTGAAAGGGGCTTCATCTCTTCTGATTGCATTGCATTGCATTGAGTAGAGCTTAGGTCTGTGCCTACACCTAACAGGAAGCAAGTCTGGGGCATTTGTGCCCAGGAAGAAAAGGAAGTGGATATGGGAAACAGCTAGCCACTGTCTGCCATACACATTCATATTTTGTCTTTTCTAATTCCCTCAGGTCCCTTAAGCTATCAGTAGCTAATATGATAAATGGATTAATGATTGTGTGTTAATGGGTGATTATGTCTTAATCCTATATTACACATTTGTAATTTCGTAATGTCTTAACTCATTCAAGTGAATAGTTTTAGAAAAGCAGTTACTATCATGGAGAACTTTGGAGGCTTCAGCATCCAATTCTCCCACACTATTGACTGATGTCTCCAAGATCAGTGTTTGACCTCCCAAATTCTGTAATCACTCTGTCTTCAAGTTGGGAACAACCCCTTCACTCTGCTCATAAGAATGAAGGCTTAAATATAAATAGACTAGTAATAACAACCTTATTGATTGCCTGCTATGGGAAAAACACTGTTTGAAATGTTTTGCATGTATTATTTTATTAATATTACAATACTTTTCAATAGGAAGGAAGTGCTGGCGCTGGAATGCCAATCTATGTAGTTTGGCTCAAGAACCTAATCACTATGCTGTCCTATTTCTAATTCTGTTAAGCGACCTATGGGAACTTGGCAACTCTAACTTATACCCAATTACAGAAGTTCTGTATTTTTGTTAAAAAAATGTGTTAGGTATTGTATCCAGCTGCCTCCTTAGCTTCCATTTTTCTGTTGTTGTTTTTCTTTCTCACATATCCTACATCCTTTCAATTTCCCTGCCTCAAGTGCCACCTGCTCTCCTGCAAAAGAAATGTTGCATTTACCACTTATATTGCTGTGCTCAGCAGTGTTCTGGAAAATACATAAACATATAAATGACAGCTCCACTCTACACTTTATCTCTGGGTTTCACACATTTGTTTTCCTTTGCAAATATGAGGAAAATTCAGAATTTTAGTGAGAAAAATTATTGATGGAAAATATTGCTTCCATTTTTGGGCCTTTAGAAGAATCCTAAAGTACCTATTTTTCAAACCATAATGAGAGAATTCCAAATGCAAACTAAAGCAACCATGCAGGCCTCTAGAGAGAAAGGGGAATATTATTATGTATAGTCTATCATCATTATCATCACCAAATAGTCTTTGTTAAAGTCTTCAGGATCACAAGGCAGTGGAGTGGTTAAATTGGCATTTCTGTCTCTTCCCAAGAGCTTGTAGTTTAAATAGAAACAGAGCAGCAAAGACAAACACATACAAGGTCAGGCTGACACCAACACTAAACATTAACATACTAATTAAAATAGAATACATCTCATTACAGTTCAATAAGAATGGGAGGCAGGAAGATGTAATATGAAAAAGTGCTAAATTAGAGAGTCAAAAGACTTTGCAGCATGCTGGGTGTACTGCTTTGAGCAAGTCACTCCTAAGGTTAAAACACTTGGTAAGACTTGGAGGAGGTAGTTTGGAATAGTGAACCAAAGACAGAATCTGGAGTCAGGAAACCACTCAACTTCTGTAACCATGGTGAGGTAATATAAGATCTCTGGATCAATTATTCCTCCTTTGTAAAATAAAAGGCTTGAAAGTTCCTTCAAGAATCGAAATTCTAGTAATTCTGTCAAAATGTCTTTAAATGTGTACAGCATGTAGTTTAAAATGTCCTTACATATACATTTTATCCATTTTAATTTTAATCCTTCTAGATGGTATCTTCTGGTTATAATAGATAGTCTTCTCTGTTTCTAAAAATAAAGAAACTGAGGTTTAGGAAAGGCAACTGCTAGCTCATCCATTATTTGATTGGAAGACGGGGAACACCCGACAAAATTAAGAGCAGAGAGAAATATTAATGAATGGAATTACAAGAAGTTGACCTCAGGGAAATCGGAAGGTAAGCAGACTCCTCTTCCTATGTCTTTATTTCTCAGGCTATATGATCTTTTGGCTCATGCATTTTTAACAGATTTAACAAATATTAACTGAGAGCCTACTATATGTTGAGCACACTTATGTGTCCTGGAGATCCCATACTGTACATGAGCAATAATGTTTCTCTTTTCATGGAGATGCTATTCTAGGAGACAAGGAGAAACAGTAAAACAAGTGAACAGACAAGAAAATTTCTTAGCTAAAAGAGTGTCAATGAGATTATTAAATCAGGATTAGGTTATAATGGGTTACTGGATAATTCCCTCTATTTGAGAGTCAGGAACCTCCTCTTTCAGAATTTGATATTTATGTTAAGAGTTAAATAGAGGAGAGAGAAGCTGAAGATACAGAAGAAATACAAGTGAGTCAGAAATACAATCCCTGAGATGAGGAGATAGAACTTCTCTTAATCAATAATCTCCTGAATCCCTCTTAGTTTCTATCCCAGTGCACTAGGGTACCTGATTAGGTCATCTTTAAGGTCACTTAAAAAAAAAAAAGGGAAGGAAGGGAGGAAGGAAAGAAGGAAAGAAGGAAAGAAAGAAAAAAGAAAGAAAGAGAGAGAAAGAGAGGATCTGGTTAGTCCATGTTAGCTCAAATATACCAGGGTTTTCACACTTCAACGCAAATGTGCAAAGGACAAAGAACATGTGGCTTCTTACTGTCCCTCTGTAACTCACTGGTACTGCATCTCAAGCACCCACCTCTTTGTGAGGGGCAGAGAACAACCAGAAGACAGCAATGTTCACATGACCAGTATCTTCTGTCTGGTAAAATATTTGGTACACAATATTTTAAAGAAAACAGGGCTGGGCGCGGTGGCTCAAGCCTGTAATCCCAGCACTTCGGGAGGCCGAGGCGGGTGGATCACGAGGTCAGGAGATCGAGACCATCCTGGCTAACATGGTGAAACCCTGTCTCTACTAAAAAAAAAAAAAAAAAAAAAATACAAAAATTAGCCAAGTGTGGTGGCAAGTGCCTGTAATCCCAGCTACTCAGGAGGCTAAGGCAGGAGAATGGCGTGAACTGGGAGGCAGAGCTTGCAGTGAGCCGAGATGGTGCCACTAAACTCCAGCCTGTGCGACAGAGCGAGACTCCTTCTCAAAAAAAAAAAAAAAAAAGAAAACAAGGATCAGTCTTGGAACAAGGCCCAATTCAGGTAAGACACTGGCCAGAATAATTACAAAATACATTCGTCATTAATTTGTAAATTTCCCTTTTCCTGACTCCCTGAACAAATAATATAACTAATATAAATATGGGCAAATAAAATGGATTTTTTGTAATTTTGTTCAGCTCTTAAACATGTTGAAATGTTCTGAAGTTACGAATTTTCAGTTATTTCACTTGCTCCTCAATCCCATGAGGTCCTACCTGTGCTATTCAAAAGCCATCCCTCCATGGCAATCACTACCAATGCTTTTACATTCTCAGCTGACTGTGAAGATCAACATGGTCTTTTTAAGATAACTATGGCCTATAATCAGAAACACTGTCTCTAAGAAACAGTAGACGCAAGACTTCATTTGTCTTCTCTCATTCCAAAAACATCTGGTCCTCCAGGATGATGTAGTAATACCAGGACAGGTATTAATAATGACCAGTCCTCTCATAACAAGATTTTGTGAGAAGAAGACTCAGATTCTCTTCCCTTCCTCCAGTTTTAACACCCAGAGCCTCCATGACCCAATCACCTCTTAAAGGTCCAATCTCTCTATGCTGCCACATTGGGGAGTAAATGTCAATGTGAGTTTTGGCAGGGGACAAAGAGTAAACCACAGCATTGGGTAATTTATAAAAAACAAAAATGTATTTCTTATAGTTCTAAATCTGGGAAGTCCAAGATCAAGGTATTGGCATTCGGTGTCTGGGGAAAACAGAAAGGGACCTTGCTAGTTTCCTCCAGCCCTTTTATAAGGTTACTAATCCTATTCATGACAGCAGAACTCTCGTGGCCTGATCACTTTCTTAAAGTCCCACCTCTTAATATTTTTGCATCGGGGATCAAGTTTCAATATGAATTTTGGAGCAGACAAAAACGTTCAAACCATAGCAATAAGGAAACCCATGATACCTAAAACCCAGTGTCTCCAGATGAGACCTCTTGGGTTTCTCCTTTATGGTAGCCACTATTGGAGGACTGCCTAATGTCCTAACTCCTCCTCTTTTCTCAAAACAACCTTAATATTTTGGAGAGCAGAGAGCACCTGGGGAAGGAGCAAACAAACAAACAAGCCCCTAAATTTTCCAGCTGTCTTGCAGTCTCTTTTGGGTTTAAATCAGCTCCTCTGACACTGCTTATGCTGCATTTGAAATAATGGTTGCCTGGAATTGCTAAATTCTGCAGTGTGCCATATAGAGTCCCAAACTGGATGAAAGTAAATCCTTCCTAGACTTACTCATTTCTCTGTGCTTATCCAATACACATTCTCTTCACACACTAAAGCCTGTTGCCTAGAGATTAGAACCCATGAGTCTTTTTTCTTTCACTCTTGCCTAGCAATGTTTACTCTCCCTGTCATCCTACTGCCCAGAAGGGATGGGCTTCAAGAATTTCTCTCCTTCGTATTCTTCTCCTACCTTTCAATAGCAGCACAATCCAGTAATCATAGACAAAAGAGTATCTTCATTCTACTAAGAAATAAACTCTTATTGGATATCTACTCATTCTTTGATATGCTCAAATGAACTAGAAAATTATCTTCTTGCTCAGAATCCAAGCTTTTGGTTTTGCTGCGAAATCATATTTTAGTGTCAGAAGAAAAACATTAACTATTTCTCTTTTTACTATTGTGAATATTAATATGACAATTTAATTCCCAAACCTCAACTCAACCCTACTCTGGGCTCACCAGGGAGGGTATCATGTCCATGGAAAGAAATGTGAAGGCAAAATTCACAACGATGTATTTTAAAATATCACCCTGACTACATAGAAGATTCTTCCTGCTTCCATCAAGAATGTCCTGAGAGACCAGGTGCGGTGGCTCATGCCTATAATCTCAACACACTTTGGGAGACCGAGGCGGGTAGATTACTTGAGGTCAGGGGTTCGAGACCAGTCTGGCCAACATGGTGAAACCACATCTCTATTAAAAATTTAAAAAAAAAAAATTAGCCAGGCATGGTGGCAAGCCCCTGTAATCCCAGCTACTCTAGAGGCTGAGGCAGGAGAATTACTTGAACCCAGGAGGCGGAGATTGCAGTGAGCCGAGATCAGGCTGCTGCAGTCCAGCCTGGGCGACAGAGTGAGACTCTGTCTCAAAAAAAGAATGTCCTGAGAATAGGAGAATTTATTATGTAAAGTTACTCTTTCCAGGCAGTATATAGGCAGATCTTTAAAAAGGAGATACAGGTGGGGAGAATATGATGGGCATATGAAGTTTACTATGTATGTTTTTAATGTGACCTAAAGTAGACAAGGGAGTAGAGAATCCATAAACCCAGAAGCGTTCACATTGTGTGCAAGATTTTTGTGGTTATGATTTGAATTCTCACCAGAGCATGTCAAACTATGAGAAGCCTGGAATTTTTTCATATATATACATGTATATACATCTATTTGAGAGTTGGTAATTAATCAAGGGGTCTCTAGTGGCAAGGTCAGTGTAGAGGTTAGAGATTGTATTGGAAGGGGTCAGGATATCCCTGAGGAGGACTGAAGCAGAACAGCTGACATTCAGGCAGTTAAAAGACTTTGCTTACTTCACAATAGGAAACTGAGCCAACTCTGCACCAAACTCTGGAATTCTGTGCAGTAACCTTCCTTGTGGTGTGAGAATGTTATCAGCATCAAGATTCTTTCCCCAAAGAAATTGGAGCCAAGGGACAATCTGATAAGAAATGGAGAATGCAAGCCCCTTGGGTTGGCAGGAGCAGATAATTTGCATCTAATTTTCTACCAGAGCTAATTAAGCCCTCTCACTTGCTGCATTTCTCTTCAGCGCCCTTCTTTCTCAGAACTATGGTGCCTGTTGAGCCTGAAGCTTGAAGGTTGTGCTGTAGATGTTGCTTATCTTTATAGAGGAGTCCCTTTCCCCCTTGAAGTTAATGGAGTAAGTTAGGTTCCAATAGTACTAGGAATTTGTATGTGAGAGATTCCATTTCCAAGGGTGAAGCTTCTCTCCAAGATACAGCTATTTTAAGGAGTATGTGGCAAGAATACATATTAAAGGCAAATTTTATGCATAACTAAGGTTTATTGAATGATTATTAAATATATGCTATTTCATGCATAAAATGGGAATAAAACTTAAAATGTATATGTAATAAACACTGTACTAAGAGTTTCACAATCATTATTTTATTTAACCCTCATGACCATCCCATGATATAGGAATTTTCACTGCTTAACACTGTAGGAACAAGTTCGGTTAGGAATTTGCATCTTGAATTCAACCCCAAATCAGGGTGAGCTCAGAGGCAGTGCTGTATCCATTACACTATTTATTCTTGGAATAATTTTATGTTAAACTCCCTTTCTCTGTGTTCTCTTTAATCTTAGATGGAGTGTCTGTTTCTCCCTTTCACTTTCCAGCTTATGATAAATAGGGGTACAGGAATTAGTAAATCTACCCCATCAAGCCCCATTGAAATATATGCATATATATATTACATATATAACACAATAGTTATATATAATAGTTATATATATGTATATATATATAACAATTACAATTTTAGGAGCAAGAAGTGAGAAAAACCACAGCTACAAAAACAAACACTATTTTATTTCTTCAGTATGATCCAACTCATTCATTATCGTGATGCTAAGGCCTTCCCAGATATTTAATCTTCAATGATTATATTAGATTCCTCAGAACTTAAGTATAAGACAATTATGATTTTCAATCATAATTATTGGAAGATTTTTATAATTATCTCTTTAATATCCATATAATCTAATTATCATACTTCATTTCTAAACCATATCAGAAAATTAAAGTCTTACTGTATATGATTTGAACAATATGCTTAAAAGTCTTTCCTGTTTCTTCAACTAAAATAGCTATGTAGTACACGGAAACAACTACATGTGTGGAGATATAGATAAGTAATGTATGTGTGTGTGTGTGTGTGTGTAATAATGATCAATTCCAGCTACAGAGTCCTTCATATCTGTCAGGCCTCTGAGCCCAAGCTAAGCCATCATATCCCCTGTGACCTGCAGGTACACATCCAGATGGCTGGTTCCTGCCTTAACTGATGACATTCCACCACAAAGAAGTGAAAATGGCCTGTTCCTGCCTTAACTGATGACACTGTCTTGTGAAATTCCTTCTCCTGGCTCATCCTGGCTCAAAAGCTCCCCTGCTGAGCACCTTGTGACCCCCACTCCAGCCCTCCAGAGAACAACCCCCTTTGACTGTAATTTTCCTTTATCCACCCAAATCCTATAAAATGGCCCCACCCTTATCTCCCTTCGCTGACTCTCTTTTCGGACTCAGCCCGCCTGCACCCAGGTGAAATAAACAGCCATGTTGCTCACACAAAGCCTGTTTGGTGGTCTCTTCACACAGACGCGCATGAAATTTGGTGCAGTGACTCGGATCGGGGGACCTCCCTTGGGAGATCAATCCCCTGTCCTCCTGCTCTTTGCTCGGTGAGAAAGATCCACCTACGACCTCAGGTCCCCAGACTGACCAGCCCAAGAAACATCTCACCAATTTCAAATCCGGTAAGCGGCCTCTTTTTACTCTGTTCTCCAACCTCCCTCACTATCCCTCAACCTCTTTCTCCTTTCAATCTTGGCACCACATTTCAATCTCTCCCTTCTTTTAATTTCAATTCCTCTCATTTTCTGGTAGAGACAAAGGAGACACATTTTATCTGTGGACCCAAAACTCTGGTGCCGGTCACGGACTAGGGAAGGCAGCCTTCCCTTGGTGTTTAATCATTACGGGGACGCCTCTCTGATTCTTCACCCAGGTTTCAGAGGTGTCAGAGCACGCAGGGATGCCTGCCTTGGTCCTTCACCCTTAGTGGCAAGTCCTGCTTTTCTGGGGAAGGGGCAAGTACCCCAACCCCTTCTCTCCATGTCTCTACCCCTTCTCCACCTTTCTGGTGGGCAAGAAACCCCCAACCACTTCTCCTTCACCCTTAGTGGCAAGTCCCGCTTTTCTGGGGGAGGGGTAAGTACCCCAACCTCGTATCTCTGCGCCCCAATCCCTTATTTCCGCACCCCGACCTCTTATATCTCTGCGCCCTGATCCCTTATTTCCGTGCCCCAACCTCTTATATCTCTGCGCCCCAATCCCTTAGTTCCGTGCCCCAACCTCTATCTCTGCACCCCGATCCCTTATTTCTGTGCCCCAACCTCGTATTTCTGCACCCCAACCCCTTCTCTGCTTTTCTGGAGGGCAAGAACCCCTCACCCCTTCTCCGTGTCTCTACTCTTTTCTCTGGGCTTGCCTCCTTCACTATGGGCAAGCTTCCACCTTCCATTCCTCCTCCTTCTCCCTTAGCCTGTGTTCTTAAGAACTTAAAACCTCTTCAACTCTCACCTGACCTAAAATCTAAGCATCTTATTTTCTTCTGCAATGCCACTTGACCCCGATACAAACTTGACAGTAGTTCCAAATAGCCGGAAAATGGCACTTTCAATTTTTTCATCCTACAAGATCTAAATAATTCTTGTCGTAAAATGGGCAAATGGTCTGAGATGCCTGACGTCCAGGCATTCTTTTACACATCGGTCCCTCTCTAGTCTCTGTTCCCAATGCAACTCATCCCAAATCTTCCTTCTTTCTCTCCCGCCTGTCCCCTCAGTCCCAACCCCAAGCGTTGCTGAGTCTTTCTAATCTTCCTTTTCTATAGACCCATCTGACCTCTCCCCTCCTCCCCGGGCTGCTCCTCGCCAGGCTGAGCTAGTTCCCAATTCTTCCTCAGCCTCCGCTCCTCCACCCTATAATCTTTTTATCGCCTCCCCTCCTCACACCTGGTCTGGCTTACAGTTTTGTTCCGTGACTAGCCCTCCCCCACCTGCCCAGCAATTTACTCTTAAAAAGGTGGCTGGAGCTAAAGGCATAGTCAAGGTTAACACTCCTTTTTCTTTATCCCAAATCAGATACCATTTAGGCTCTTTTTCATCAAATATAAAAATCCAGCCCAGCTCATGGCTCGTTTGGCAGCAACCCTGAGACACTTTACAGCCCTAGACCCTAAAAGGTCAAAAGGCCGTCTTATGCTCAATATACATTTTATTACCCAATCTGCTCCCTACATTAAATAAAACTCCAAAAATTAAATTCCGGCCCTCAAACCCCACAACAGGATTTAATTAACCTCGCCTTCAAGGTGTACAATAATAGAAAAAAGTTGCAATTCCTTGCCTCCACTGTGAGACAAACCCCAGCCACATCTCCAGCACATAAGAACTTCCAAATGCCTGAACCGCAGGGGCCAGGCGTTCCTCCAGAACCTCCTCCCCCAGGAGCTTGCTACAAGTGCCAGAAATCTGACCACCAGGCCAAGGAATGCCTGCAGCCCAGGATTCCCCCATCTGTGCGGGATGCCACTGGAAATCGGACTGTTCAACTCACCTGGCAGCCACTCCCAGAGCCCCTGGAACTCTGGCCCAAGCCTCTCTCACTGACTCCTTCTCAGCTTAGTGGCTGAAGACTGACGCTGCCCGATCGCCTTGGAAGCCCCGTAGACCATCACGAACTCCGAGCTTCAGGTAACTCTCACAGTGGAGGGTAAGTCCGTCCCCTTCTTAATCAATACAGAGGCTACCCACTCCACATTACCTTCTTTTCAAGGGCCTGTTTCCCTTGCCTCCATAACTGTTGTGGGTATTGACGTCCAGGCTTCTAAACCTCTTAAAACTCCCCAACTCTGGTGCCAACTTAGACAATACTCTTTTATGCACTCTTTTTTAGTTTCCCCACCTGCCCAGTTCCCTTATTAGGCCGAGACACTTTAACTAAATTATCTGCTTCCCTGACTATTCCTGGGCTACAGCTGCATCTCATTGCTGCCCTTCTTCCCAATCCAAAGCCTCCTTTGCGTCCTCCTCTTGTATCCCCCCACCTTAACCCACAAGTATAAGATACCTCTACTCCCTCCTTGGCGACCGATCATGCACCCCTTACCATCTCATTAAAACCTAATCACCCTTACCCCACTCAATGCCAATATCCCATCCCACAGCATGCTTTGAAAGGATTAAAGCCTGTTATCACTCGCCTGCTACAGCATGGCCTTTTAAAGCCTATAAACTCTCCTTACAATTCCCCCATTTTACCTGTCCTAAAACCAGACAAGCCTTACAAGTTAGTTCAGGATCTATGCCTTATCAACCAAATTGTTTTGCCTATCCACCCCATGGTGCCAAACCCATATACTCTCCTATCCTCAATACCTCCCTCCACAATCCATTATTCTGTTCTGGATCTCAAACATGCTTTACTATTCCTTTGCACCCATCATCCCAGCCTCTCTTCGCTTTCACTTGGACTGACCCTGACACCCATCAGGCTCAGCAAATTACCTGGGCTGTACTGCCCCAAAGCTCCACAGACAGCCCCCATTACTTCAGTCAAGCCCAAATTTCTTCCTTATCTGTTACCTATCTCAGCATAATTCTCATAAAAACACACGTGCTCTCCCTGCTGATCGTGTCCGATTAATCTCCCAAACCTCAATCCCTTACAAACCAACAACTCCTTTCCTTCCTAGGCATGGTTAGTGTGGTCAGAATTCTTACACAAGAGCCAGGACAGCACCCTGTAGGCTTTCTGTTCAAACAACTTGACCTTACTGTTTTAGCCTAGCCATCATGTCTCTGTGCAGTGGCTGCTGCCACCCTAATACTTTTAGAGGCCCTCAAAATCACAAACTATGCTCAACTCACTCTCTATATTTCTCATAACTTCCAAAATCTATTTTCTTCCTCCCACCTGATGCATATACTTTCTGCTCCCTGGCTCCTTCAGCTGTACTCACTCTTTGTTAAGTCCCACAATTACCATTTTTCCTGGCCCGGACTTCAATCCGGCCTCCCACATTATTCCTGATACCACACCTGACCCCCATGACTGTATCTCTCTGATCCACCTGACATTCACCCCATTTCCCCATATTTCCTTCTTTCCTGTTCCTCACCCTGATCACGCTTGATTTATTGATGGCAGTTCCACCAGGCCTAATCGCCACACACCAGCAAAGGCAGGCTATGCTATAGTACAAGCCACTAGCCCGCCTCTTAGAACCTCTCATTTTCTTTCCATCGTGGAAATCTATCCTCAAGGAAATAGCTTCTCAGTGTTCCATCTGCTATTCTACTACTCCTCAGGGATTATTCAGGCCCCCTCCCTTCCCTACACATCAAGCTCGAGGATTTGCCCCCACCCAGGACTGGCAAATTAGCTTTACTCAACATGCCCCGAGTCAGATAACTAAAATACCTCTTAGTCTAGGTAGACACTTTCGCTGGATAGGTACAGGCCTTTCCTACAGGGTCTGAGAAGGCCACCGAAGTCATTTCTTCCCTTCTGTCAGACATAATTCCTCAGTTTAGCCTTCCCACCTCTATACAGTCTGATAACAGACCAGCCTTTATTAGTCAAATCAGCCAAGCACTTTTTCAGGCTCTTAGTATTCAGTGAAACCTTTATATCCCTTATAGTCCTCCATCTTCAGGAAAAGTAGAACGGACTAAAGGTCTTTTAAAAACACACATCACCAAGCTCAGCCACCAACTTAAAAAGGACTGGACAGTACTTTTACCACTTTCCCTTCTCAGAAGTCAGACCTGTCCTCAGAATGCTACAGGGTACAGCCCATTTGAGCTCCTGTATAGACGCTCCTTTTTATTAGGCCCCAGTCTCATTCCAGACACCAGAGCACCTTAGACTGTGCCCCCAAAAAACTTGTCATCCCTACTATCTTCTGTCTAGTCATACTCCTATTCACCATTCTCAACTACTCATACATGCCCTGCTTTTGTTTACACTGCCGGTTTACACTGTTTCTCCAAGCCATCACAGCTGATATCTCCTGGTGCCATCCCCAAACTGCCACTCTTAACTCTTGAAGTAAATAAATAATCTTTGCTTACAGGACTATGCTGAATTTCCTTAGGCACTCTAATTAGATGTCCTAGGTCCTCCCAATTCTTCAACCTTTAGTACCTGTTTTTCTCCTTCTCTTATTCCGTTTAGTTTTTCAATTCATACAAAACTGTATCCAGGCCATCACCAATAATTCTAAATGACAAATGTTTCTTCTAACAGTCCCACAATATCACCCCTTACCACAAAATCTTCCTTCAGCTTAATCTCTCCCACTCTAGGTTCCCACGCTGCCCCTAATCCCTCTCAAAGCAGCCCTGGGAAACATCGCCCATTATCTCTCCATACCACCCCCCAAAATTTTCACCATCTCAACACTTTACCACTATTTCATTTTATTTTTCTTATTAACATAAGAAGACAGGAATGTCAGGCCTCTGAGCCCAAGCTAAGCCATCATATCCCCTGTGACCTGCACGTACACATCCAGATGGCCAGTTCCTGCCTTAACTGATGACATTCCACCACAAAAGAAGTGAAAATGGCCTGTTCCTGCCTTAACTGATGACACTGTCTTGTGAAATTCCTTCTCCTGGCTCATCCTGGCTCAAAAGCTCCCCTGCTGAGCACCTTGTGACCCCCCACTCCAGCCCGCCAGAGAACAACCCCCTTTGACAGTAATTTTCCTTTATCCACCCAAATCCTATAAAATGGCCCCACCCTTATCTCCCTTAGCTGACTCTCTTTTCGGACTCAGCCCGCCTGCACCCAGGTGAAATAAACAGCCATGTTGCTCACACAAAGCCTGTTTGGTGGTCTCTTCACATGGACGTGAGTGAAAATATCTCAGCATAAATTTCACTTCTACTACTCACTTGCTATGTAAACTTTAAAAAATTACTTACTCTCTAAGCCTCACTTTCCTAACGCTGTCAGAGTTGCCAGAAAAATCAAATCAAATAACTGCATGAAAAGCACTAATCATAATGCCCAAGTCATGATAAGCAAACCCTGAATAGTTGCTGTTATTAATTATGATTATGTCCCTGGATTCACAGTTTGCTCAACTTATCCATCTTATTCCCATTATAAGAAGCTAGAAAGAAGTACAAACAATTCTGAACTTTTTGTTTGTTTCATGGTTGGTCGTATTTCCCCTCATTTCCTTTATTCATCATTACTTTTGGTACTGAGGGTTTAAAAAATTAAGTATGAGTGTATTCACCTTGTTATTTATTTTCTGTATTTTGACCTTTTGACATTTGGGGCCTTTCTATTCCAGCCCCTCCTGTGGTTTCTCTAGTTCCTAATTCCTAAAGAGAGTAAACAACTCCACCAAGAGTGAGCTTTTCAAATGCAAACCAACCAATCCAGAGTTCACACTTCAACAAATTCCCTTACTGGGCCCTCACACTCTGGGCCACTATCCCACTCTCTGCTTGGCTAATCATTCCAGGGCCAGGTGCCAGACAATTAGGGATAGCTCCTCTGGGCCCCAGAGCCCATGGCAATTAAATCTACTTACCAGCCTTCCCAGGGTCCTTCTTCTGGAAATCACTGTTAAGGCTCTTGCCCACACTTTCCACCCTCATCCCCACCCCCTGATAGACCCCAGTGCTGCCATGTGTGACCACTCTCAGTGTGAGTCTATTTCTTGGGATCTGTGAATAAAACCTGTGAGCCTATTTCTTGGAATCTGTGAATAAAACCAACTACCATTTCAACGGCAATTGTCTCTTAATCTGTTGGCCTTGCCATACCTGACTAATAATAGAATCTATATTTTGAAACACAAGTAATTCCAGAATAAATATAACTATAGCTCTATAGCTATCTCCTCCATTTGACTGTAGAGTTCTTGAGAACAGATTTGTCTACACTAACCAATTGATTCTAAGTAAATATTTTTGAATGAATGAATTTATTGCATATCTAAAATGCACAGACATAACTTTATTTGGGAGAAATATCTGCAGTTTTAAAAGTTAATGAATATATACTCATGAATGTCTAATCAGACTGTTCATATATATTTAAACAATCAAGCAAATTCCTATTAGGGAACATACAGTATGACTCTTCATTTTATTGTGAGAACTCCCATGTAGATGGGAAATTTCTCCTCTGCCCTCTTAGGGTCTCCAGCCGGGCCTACGACTTAAACTGAAATAATTCAGATGAATATGAGAAAAGTTTGCAAGTTTTATTAGGATAGTGCATGTATATGGGAGTCACAAGAAAATGAAGACCCAGAGAAGTGACAAGAGCAGAAAGTTTATATACCTTTTAGAAAAATGATTGATAAATTTGTGAAGAAATGGCTTGAAGAAGGGGTTTGGGCTAGGGGCAAAAAAAAATATAGGTGAGTCACTAAGAGATAGGTGCAGAAAACTAATGGAAAATATGGCTTTCTCACGAAATTTGTACAGATTCATTTCAGCATCCATTTTAATCTCTGATGATAAGGATGTTTCTCTCTCCCTGGTACTAGGAAGGCACTTTTCTCACGGGATGTGTTATGGCCTGTTTTTAAGTAGAAAGGGGAGGTCAAAAGGCCCTTCCTGCATCTGCTGTTTCTCATGTGCCTTCAGCTCAACATAATCAATATAGCAAAGTGGCATATTTTGGGATGGCATGTCCTAAACTTCTACACCAGCGGAGAAACTGTTTCCCAGAGGGCACAGTACTGGAACTCTGCAACACTGACAATGTAGGATAAAGAAAGGGCTCCAGGTTAGGTGTCCTGAAAGTTTTGATGGAGGACAGAAGACACATTATATTCTGTCAGCCCCCTAAGGCTGCTGGGAAGCTTTGTGAGTCTTGTTTCATACTAATGTGTGATTTTTAAAAAGTTTTTGGCTCAAACAATTTCCTTGTTATTAGAGAGCCTCTTTAACATGAGAGAAGTATTTCAAATGAGTGCTTGGCTCATGAGTACCAAGGAATTAGGCAGAGGATGGATGTTAGCTACCTTGTTGGAGTGTCAAGCAGTATGAAATAGCCTTCAGACCTACTTTTAGAGATTACTGAAACAGGGAACCCTTTAAAATACTAGAGAATAAATCCAATAGATCTTTTGGCTGTAACTAGCATCTGCTCTGGCAGGCTAAGAAATAATATAAAATAAACTTATTTTGCCCAGGTTAATTCTGTTTCTGCTCGGAAGTGCATTATTTACAACCTATACTCAATAAATGTATGTTTAGCACATTAATCAATGTTTAGATGCAATTCTTCTAGCAAAGTCACCTAGACAATCCTTGATTCATTAAGCTTTTCTTCCTATGAAATCAAAATGCTTTTGAAGAAGCCAAACCTACATGAGATACATTATTTTTTTAAAAGCTCACATATACATTAGAATGTTTTCATAATACTATAAAGTTCAATTAAAACAAGACTCTAGTATAGGAAAAAAATGTGAAGGGCTTCAAAATGGACCAAAAAGATTACTGAGTGTTCTGTCTAGTACTGTCTCCAGGTTATCCTTGCTTTTCAGTGTTTTTGAACTATTTTATAACCCTATAAATTATAGAAAACTAATAATTATATAAAAAGTCAATTTTATAACAATGAAAATAGTGTGCAATTGATTACTGCTCTGTGGAGACTGACCAGTTTTGCCAGTTTCGCATCTATTTAGCAAATTACTTCAGCATTCCTGAGGTAGCATTCCTACAGTCACCTTCCCTTTAGTCTTCCTTTGAGAATCTAAGGAAACATCTTATTGGTTTTCTTCTTGACTGAGTTGAATACAACTGTTGACATGTGGTCATTTTGTATCTATATGATTATACCCTCTTTTTTAAAAAAAATAAAAGTTTTTTTTTAACACTATTACTACAATAAACAAAGCAACCCAAAATCTCTTGAGAAACTTAGATAAATTAGAGAGCCAAATCCTACAGTACTCTTGCTTATGTAAATGGCTAATTTGTTGGAGGCATGATCTCTCCAAGAACTAACTCAGGAGTGTTTTCTACTAGTAAATAATGAAGGTTTTCTTTTTTTTCTTTTTCTTTTAATTCTTCCAAGAGAAGTTAATTGTTTCCTCAATAGTTTGTTTCTAAATGACTCTGGAAGTGAGTTCCTACAGCATCCCTCCCAGGCTGCTAGTAGCTTCTTTAGTGCTGCTTGAATCACTACCTTCCCACCATTTGAACAATTTCAGCATTTACCTTGCAGTTATTTTAGAGAATCCAACTTAAAAAAATACACTGCATGACATTGTTGTGTGCAGTATGGCCTTTTCTACTTAAAAACAGGCCATAACATATCCCAAGAGAAAGGTTCCCTCCTAGTACCAAGGAGAGAGAAACCCATCTTTATCATCAGAGATGGGAATGGATGCTAAAATGAATCTGTACACATTTCCTGAGATAGCCATATTTTCCGTTAGTTTTCTGCATCCATCTCTTAATGACTCACCCACAATTTTTTTGCCCCTAGCCCAAACCCCTTCTTCATGCCATTTCTTCACATATTTATCAATTATTTTTCTAAAAGGCACATAAGCTTTCTGCTGTGGTCACTTCTCTGGGTCTTCATTTTCTTGTGAGGACTCCCATGTATATGCACTATCCTAATAAAACTTGTATACTTTTCTCATGTTCATCCGAATTATTTCAGTTTAAGTCTTAGGCCCAGCTGGAGACCCTAAGAGGGCAGAGGAGAAACTTCCCATATACATGGGAGTTCTCACAAGAAAATGAAGAGTCATACTGTATGTCCCCTAGATTGTTCCCTAATAGGAATTTGCTTGGTTGTTTAAATATATCTAAAGCTTTACAGGTAAGACAAGAATTGCTAAATCAATTCCTTCAGTATGTTAGCTTTAGAGATGAAACATAGTTGTTTTTGTTTCTGCTTTTTATGGAGTTTTAAAATTGCTATTGTATTCCACTCAGTTGTGCTTGTTCAGGGTGACTATGATGATCACTAATGCTTTATTAAGTGGTACATTATTTGTTCAATGAAATTCCAAATCTCTTCCAAACAACTTCAAATCAGAGGTGCCTGACTATCTGGAACACTAACAAATATCCCTGCCCTTGGCTAGTTAAATGTGTAATGAATGAGACTGCCACCTCTTGGCAGAATACACTACATTTTCCTAAAATAAGATGAGTTTTTGCCTTAAATAGGCTCAAATAATTGAAGATTTAAAACTGACAAGATTAAATGGGAGAAATAACAATGACTGCTGAAATGATACCCTAAAATAATGTGACTTATTTATTAGGTTGGTGTGAAAGTAACTGAGGCTTTTGCCACCACTTTAATGGCAAAACCGCAATTACTCTTGCACCAACCTAATATTATATTTTGGTTGAGAGGTAGTAGACTTTGGCATCAGATAACCTTATATACCCTCCACGTATCACCTCTCTTGGTATAGACAAGTTTCCTAACAACTTTAAACATCAGATTCTTCATGTGTAAAATTAAGACTACAATATTAAATTAATGATGTTTTATGAGGTTTAATTTATAAGCCCCGAAACTACTTTTTTGATATATTAATTAAAAATTCAGAGTTTGAAGTCTCTTATTAGCTGTCTTATTTATTCCATTGATTTCCAGTACCCAGTTTAATGTCTTGTTCATAGTAGACAATGAATAGTATTTCTTGGCTGAATGATCTATTTTATTCCTGAAATTTTGTAAGAGGGCTAAGCACAATGTCATAATGACTGTGACATTGAAAGAGAGAGGAGTGCGAATAAGACAAAGTACATGTGAGAGAAGCAAACCAATAGGTGGAAATGGGGGGTTAATTTTCCTCAGTTACCATCACGGTAATTTTACGCATCAGGAGGAGTATTTTCAGAGAGCAGATATCAACAAGGGTAAGAAGTAGGTGAAAGAGAAAGGAGGGAATGAAACACAAAGCATTTCTATTTTCTGGGTGAAATACTGAAATAGGCAGAAAACAAGTAATTAATAAATGCTTATAGACTGCAAGTGGAACAACCTTTGTGATGTCTAAATGAATTCATTGGGTAAATGAGCCATACTCATTACTGCTGACAGAGTTAACAACTACCTGAAAAGCCTTCTCCTGGGTTGGTCTCATAGTCATAAACTGACCAGAACACAGGTAGGATTTTAAATAAAGTGTTAACAAATTAAAAGACAAAAAATGAAAAGGACTTAGAACATGGGAATAAAAACTATGTGTTTTAAGAGAAAGTTGATTAAATGACAGATATTTAGCTTGAAAAAGAAAAGACCTGGGAAGATACAAGATAGATATCTCTAAATGCTTGAAGTTCTTGATGAATAAAAATTGAATATACTTATTCAATGAAACTCTTGAGGGTTAATTGTGAATCATGGATTCAAATTACAAACAGGTGAATTTTTAAGAAAAAACATTATCTGACACTGTAATAAACCACCTCAGGGCTCAATGAGTTTCTTCTCATCAGAATGACTTAAAGCAGAGGCTGGACAATCATATTTTAGGGATATCAGAGAGCTGGAATGAATACATTTCAAATTCATTTCCAATTCCAAGTTTTCATGTTCTATTATTCCTTAGTTCCAGCCAGTGTTGTAATTTGGCAAATTTTCAGAGCTCCAGGATGGTTCTGCATGCATCAGAAAGCTCTGAGACACATTTATTAGGTCAGAATTTCCTCTACTTATTTCATGAAACAACAGAATTAAGTGGCCCCAAACTATATGGCTCCCACTTGCTTCGCTCTTTGTGGCAAAAATCAAATTGTCTATTAACAATGCTGCCTGGATCCTCACTAAGATCCTACTGTCATCGTTTCAAAATAGATAAAGTCTTACCTTAATATGAAAAAGTGAGTTTTCCTTTCTCAGTCCACCCAGACCACAACCATTTTGTTTCTGTAGTTATTATTGGTTCTCCCAGAATCACTCAGCACATGGCTTAACTGCTTCTTGCCTGTTCCATATATATGATATTGTGTCCAGAGTTTCTTCCTTCCGGTGGGTTCGTGGTCGTGCTGACTTCAAGAATGAAGCCGGTGATCTTCACTGTGAGTGTTACAGCTCTTAAGGATGGTGTGTCCGGAGTTTCTTCTTTCCGGTGGTTTTGTGGTCTCTCTTACTTCAAGAAGGAAGTTGCAGACCTTCGCAGTGAGCGTTACAGCTCTTAAAGGTGTTGTGGACCCAAAGAATGAGCAGCAGCAAGATTTATTGTGAAGAGCAAAAGAACAAATCTTCCACAGCGTGGAAGGAGACCCGCAGGTTGCCCCTGCTGGCTGGGGTGTCCAGCTTTTATTCCCTTATTTGTCCCTGCCCACATCCTGCTGATTGGTCCATTTTACAGAGTGCTGATTGGTCCATTTTACACAGCACTGATTCATCCATTTTACAAACCTCTAACTAGCCACAGAGCGCTGATTGGTGCGTTTTACAATCCTAGCTACAGAGTGCTGACTGGTGCATTTTACAACCCTCTTGTAAGTCAGAAAACTTCTCCAAGTCCCCACTGGACCCAGGAAGTCCAGCTGGCTTCACCTCTCAATATTTTTCAATTTTTACATTTAAACACAGTCCAGGCTACATCATAAAAGTTTCTGAGGTCCAGTAACAATGAAACATTACCAGATATTAACTGCTGGTGAATAATATGAAACAAATTTGTGGCAGTTGATAATATTTGTAATGACAGGTGCAAGAGAGAACTCTGACCCTAGATATTTGAAGAAACTTAGGGTCAGACATTTCAATTTTCTAAACCTTAGCTTGTTTCTCTGTACTTCGGTATTGTCCCGGCTTTGCTTTTCATCATGGGTAATTTTGATGTTTAAATGAGCCAATATATTTGAAATCTTCCTTTAAAGTATCAATTATTGCCAAAACATGAAGGATGTGGAAGATTATGATGATCTGGAATAGCAAGAAAGTTTACAAATGCATTTTGTAAAGTGTATATACAATTTAATTCAACAATATGTATATGTTTAATATTATTGTTGCTTCTTTTGAGTTGGGCTTGTTGACGGGTTTACATTAGGAGAATTACACGCCAATCCTAGGCCAACATCACAAATTCACTTTTCTTAGATTTCTCGCCTGTATCAAGGAGAAATTTGACATTACCTTACACAATTTTTATAAAAGTTAAGAAAGTCAATGTGAAAGCCTATAAGAAGCACCCAGAAAATGATTGTAAAACTTGAATCTGAAGATTTAGCAGCAATAGATATTATTTGCAGCGGTAGTTGCGTTAAGTTCTTTAAAAACCCAAAGTTTTTTCACTTGATTGGAGGCAAGATAAATTGATGTTACCTTAACTATTCTTCTCTGACATCACTAGGATCCTAAGGTTTCTGCTACTGATGTTTCATTTAGCTGGATAAATGACGAGATGACTTCTTAGAAGCACAGTTAGCTTACTAGGTAGTTTATTGTGTCAGCAGCTTTCAGAAGACAAAGAAACTGTGTCTTACACATAGCCTCTTGTAGACACAATACTATAACTCGTAACGTAAATCACTCTGCTCCTTCTCTCCCACTTCTACGTTTCAATGCACATTGATTTCAGAGAAGTCTCTGTCAAGCATCAGGCTTCAGAAAGAAATGGTAAAAGGCCATGTTAACAATGAAAATATTGGCAGGATGTAAGACTACACCCTATTGTACAGGTAGAGAGGGTGGCTGACCTCTTGCTCCCTCTACTTTACTTCTGTAAAGACTACCACAGGTTGGCATGGGGAGAACTTTCAGTGCTAATAATAACTTAAGTATTATTCCCTGAAATGTGTAGGTCCCTTGGATTTCTTCTTTTTTATGGGGCAGGTCGCCTAGTTGGGTCTCCATTATATTTCCACTGGGTGTGTCTGGGCCCTAGTAGGAATGTAATTTTTATCGAATAAGTGAATGAATGAATGAATGAATGAATGAAATGACAGTGTTTTGTTTCAAAACAGATACTGCAAGAAGAAGAAAACCTGTTCCAAATGGGCTCCAATAGCCACTGTCTACCATCAAATCAATGTTATTGAGTGGAGCTCTCTGTCAAATTAAAGTACAAAGGAAAGCACAGGACATAAGCAAAATATGTATTACAGCCCACAAAAAGAGAAATATCCCAAATAATCAGGTAAAACTTTGTACCTGAAAAATAGTTTGTGTAAGAACAAAAGGGGATGATTCATGTCTGATTTATGAAATTAAAGTAAGCAGAGGTGAAGTGCATGAAATCTATAATTGAAAAATACATTTGATGAATAACATAATTACTAAACTAAAAATCAAGAAGAGAAATCCAAGTAAATATAGAAGACAAAATTGATATATTCACTGAGATCTCAGAAGATAAAAATAAAGTGTTATAATACAGTAGTTGGAAGACATTAATAGATACCGGAATTCTAGTTTCTCTGTATGAAGATTTGATGGGGTTTGATGGGGGGCTGGGGGGAAGGAATAGTTACTGAAATCACAGAGCACACTTAAAATTTCCCTGATAGGAAGATTTAAATATGCAGATCAAAAAGGCTCACACACGTGAAAAAAATAATCAAAGCTAGGTATGTTGTTTTAATTTTATTTTAAATCCAAGAATAAGGAAAATTTAACAAGATTTTGAGAAATAAAAAAAGTTATCTATGTAGAAGAAAAAGCTCTCTTAGCCTTTTCATATACAGCATGAAACACCAGAAGGCAATGCAATGATATTGACAGTCTTGAGAAAAAAGAACTATAAATAACCCAAGAAGTCTATATTGATATAAATTGTCAACTATATGCAAATGTGCATGTGTGTGTGTTTTCAGAAATCCTGGGGGAAAACAAACCAGAAAAAAACAGTATCTTTAACAAATACTTTGTGATGGAAATGCACACACACATGCACACACACATGGAAACACGCACACGCAGAAATGTCTAAAAATGAATTTAAAAATTCAAGATTAGGAAAGCAATGGTATAAAACAATTGATAATCCTCAATTAAGCCAATTAATCAAAATGCAATGATACACAACTAAATCTTGAGAAGTAACTGTTTAAAATTCGGGAGGTGAATGGAGAAGGAAGTCTCATTTCAACTTCAAGATTAAACCATCTTCATCACCATTATCAGAAGCCCTGCAATGAGTGAGACAGACAGTACTCGTCCAGATTAATAAAGTAACTCTGTTTTACATTTGGATTTTCGTCCTTAATTATATGCTCACCTAATTTTACAATCCCACAGAGCAGGAGGATTGAGTGGTGGCTCCCTTAGCCAATTAAAATGGGACTGTTTTCTTGGAAACATAAATACACTGTCATTATTGAGTCAAACTCTTCTCTATTTCATTCCAGGGTTAATAGAAAAGCATCAATATTTTTTTCTAAAACAGAGTTTTGAACAATGTGTTTTCAAAATGTAGCCTTCTCAGCCTCCCTGAACCTAGGAGTCTTGCTGAGAGAAAGGCAATTTTGAAGGGTTGGAGACATTGAAAATACTACATTGGCCCTGCCTTCAGAAGAGCTGGTTCACTAGAGGTTATAAAACTTAGCCCATCAACTTTTCCAAATGTTTTGCATTCATGGCAACACCTTTCTAGGCTATAGATTGTGAGATTTGAATCTTCTTTGGTTGTGTTAAGAAATCTCTCATCGTTTTCAAACAGCTAAATAAATAGGGAGAGGTACACTAATTTCAGATCCCAAGAAAGCAATTACTGCAAGGCTTCTGGCTTTTAACAGAATTGTTTTTTGTGTGGAAAAGAGAGATGGAGGCAGGGGAGAGAGAGAGAGGTGCTGGGTAAAGAATGACAAGTCTTATTGGTAAAGGTGTGTATATATACATATATATGTATATATTTTTAATTTACTATTAGACTATGCTTAGCAACAATCCAAAATAAATATTTTATGAAAATCTTTTTCCAAAGGTAACCTTATGTTTTATTTTTAAATTCATTTGATTTTTAATATTTAATTTTTATGGGTATGTAAGTGTATATAGTTATGGGGTACAGTGGATATTTTGATACAGGCATTAATGTGTAACAATTATATTAGGGTAAATAGGGTATCCATCACCTCAAGCATTTACTCTTTCTGTTACATTCCAATTATATTGTTTGTTATTATATTTTTAAATGCACTATATATATTAAATTTAAATGTATTTAAATTACTGTTGGCTACAATCACCCTCTTGTGCTATCAAATACTAGATCTTATTCATTCTGTTTTTGTACCTATTAACTGTCCCCACTCTCCCACTCCATTACCCTTCCCAGCCTCTGGTAACCATCATTCTACTATCTCCATGAGTACAATCATTTTAACTTTTATCTCCCACAAATGAATGAGAACATGTGAAGTTTATCTTTCCGTGTCTGGCTTATTTCACTTAACATAATGTCCTCCAGTTCAATCCATGTTGTTGCAAAGACAGGATCTCATTCTTTTTTATGGCTGAATACTATGACATTGTGTGTATATAAATGTGTTTTTTTCCATTAATCTATTGATGAAAATTTAAATTGCTTCCAAATCTTGGTAGTCGGGAATAGTGCTGCAATAAACATGGGAGTGCAGATATCTCTTTAATATTCTGATTTATTTGGGGCACATACATAGCAGTGGGATTGCTGGATCTATTGCTGTAATTCTACTTTTAGTTTCTTGAGGAACCTCCACACTGTTCTCCATAGTGGCTAGAATAATGTACATTTCCAACAAAAGTGTATGAGTGTTCCCTTTTCTCCACATCCTTGCCAGCACCTGTTATTGCCTGTCTTTTGGATAAAAGCCATTTTAACTGGGATGAAATGATATCTCTTTGTAGTTTTGATTTGCATTTCTCTGATGATCTATCATGTTGAGCATCTTTTCATATATCTGTTCAATATTTGTATGTCTTCTTTTGAGAAATATCCCCTCAGATCTTTTGCCCATTTCTAATCAGACTACTAGATTTTTTGGAGTTGTTTAAGCTCCTTATATATTCAAATTAGTAGTCCTTTGTTAGATATATAGTTTGCAAAATATTCTCCCATTCCATGAGCTATCTCTTCACTTTGTTGATTATTACCCTGCAGTGCAGAAGTTTTTTAACTTGATGTGATCCCATTTGTCCATTTTTGCTTTGGTTGCTTGTGCTTATGAGGATTATTCAAGAACTCTTTTCCCAGATCAATGTCCTCGAGTGTTTCTCTAAAATTTTCTTTTATTAATTTCATAGTTTCAGGTCTTAAACCTAAGTCTTTAATCCATTTTGTGTCAACTTTTATGTATGGTGAGAGATATGGTCTAGTTTGGTTCTTCTGCATATGAATATCTAGTTTTCCCAGCATCATTTATTAAAGAGACTGTCCTTTCCCAATGTATGTTCTTGACACCTTTGTGGAAAACAAGTTCACTGTAAATGTATGGATTTGCTTCTGGGTTCTCTATTCTGTTTCATTGGTCTATGTGTCTATTTTTATGCCAATGTCATGCTGATTTGGTTACTATAGCTCTGTAATGTAATTTGAAGTTAGGTAATGTGATTCCTACAGTTGTATTCTTTTTGCTCAGGATGTGTTGGCTCTTCCAGGTCTTTCGTGCTCTGTATACATTTTAAGATTTTTTGTTTTCATTTCTGTGAAGAATGTCATTGGGATTTTAAGTGGTATTGCATTGAATCTGTAGATTGCTTTGGGTAGTATGGACATTTTAACAACATTTATTCTTTGAATCCATGTACATGGAATACCTTTCCATTTTTTGTGTGTCCTCTTCAATTTCTTGCACCAATGTTTTATAGTTTTCATTGTAGTGATTTTTCACTTTGATTAAGTTTATTCCTAGGTATTTTATTTTATTTGTAGCTATCATAAATACGATTGCTTTGTTGATTTCTTCTTTAGATTGTTCATTGTTGTCATATAGAAACACTACTGATTTTTGCATGTTTATTTTAATATCCTGCCATTTTACTGAATTTGTTTATCAGTTCTATTAGTTTTTTGGCAGGGTTTTTAGGATTTTTCAAATATAAGATTATATCATCTGCAAACAAAGATAATTTGACTTTTTCTTTTCCAATTTGTATGCCCTTTATTTATTTTTCTTGTCAGTTTGCTCTGTCTAGGACTTCCAGTACTATGTTGAGTAACAGTGGTAAAAGTAGGTATTCTTGACTTGTTCCAAATCTTAGAGAAAAAGCTTTATGTTTTTCTCCATTCACTATGACATTAGCTGTAGTTTTGTCCTATATCACTATTGTGTTGAGATATGTACCATCTACATCCAGTTTTTTTTGAGGGTTTTTATCATGAAGAGATGTAGATTTTTATCAAATGATTTTTGTGCATCAATTTAAATGATCATATGGGTTTTTTCTTCATTCTGTTGATATGATGCATCACATTAATTAATTTGCATATTTTGAACTATCCTTGCATCCCTGGGATAAATCCACTTGATCATAATGAATGATCTTTGTAATGTGTTGTTGAACTCAGTTTGCTAGTATTTTGTTAAGAATTTTTGCTTCAATGTTCATCAGGGATATTGGCCTATAGTTTTCTATTTTTGGTGTGGCTTTTTCTGGTTTTGGTCTATCTCCCTGCTGAGCTACCTGGAGCTGGGGGAGAAGTGACACAAGAACCCATATGGCCACTGTGCTGGGTCAGACTTGAAGTCAGCACAGCTCTGGGTCTTGCTGAAGGCCCGTGGTGGCCACTGCCTGACTACTGCTGATGTTCACTCAAGGCCCAAAGGCTCTACATCCAGCAAGTGGCAAATCCAGCCAGGCTTTGTCCTTCCCATCAGGGTAACAAGCTCCTCACTCCATCCCCCTAGACCAGAGCATGTCCATAAATGTCTGACAGTTGAATTCTTTCCACCATGAGTTTCTTTCTGCTGGGACAGGCAGCACTGAGTTCCAATTCAAAGCCCCAGTCACCACGCTCACCCTCCCTGAAGCACGCAGATTCTCTCTTTGCATCAGAGTGCTACTGCCATGGGATGAGGGAGGGGTGGTGTTGACAATATAAGAATGTCTTTCCTACCCTCTTCAATTCCTCTTTTCCTGCTAGAATGTTACAACCTTGTGCTATGATTACTTACTTGATTTTTAGTTAGTTCTTAAGAGTGTGCTTTCTTTGGTGGATAGTTATTAAATTTGGTGGATAGTTATTAAATTTGGTATTGGGTGAGGGTGGGGGGGACAATTGTTACAGGGTTCTATTTGGACATCTTGCTCTGCCTCCTCTTCCACAAACTTGTCTATTGTTTGTTTTTGTTGCTGTTCTTTAGTAGAAGCTTGAATTCATTTTTGATACTCACATTTAAGTCAAAGATCCACTTTTAAATTTATTTTTAAATTGACAACTAAAATCTATATGTATTTGTTGTGTGTAATGTTCTCTTTAAAAATATGTACACATTGTGGAAAGGCTAAATTAAGCTAGCTAACACATGTGTCACCTCACATACATATCAATTTTTTTGTAATGAGAAAACTTAAAATCTACTCTATTAGCTGTTTTCAAGTATACAATATATTGTCATTAACTATACTCACCATGTTGTACAATAGATCCTTTGAACTTATTCCTGCTGTCTAACTGAAATGTTGTACCTTTTGACCAACATCTCTTCAATCCCCAATTTAGTCCCTAGTAGGAACCAGTGTACTCTCTGGTTCTGAGTTTGACTTTATTTAGGTTCCACATATGAATGAGTTCATATGGTGTTTGTCTTTCTGTGTCTGGCTTATTTTACTCAACATAATGTCCTCCAGGTTCATCTATGTTATTCCAAATGATAAGATTTCCCAAAATTTTAAAGGCCGAATAATATTTTATTGTTTATATATACTTCATTTTCTTTATACATTGATCTATTATGGACACTTAGATTGATTTCATAGTTTGGCTGTTGTAAATAATGCTGCAATGAACACGATAATATAGATATCTCTTTGACTTACTGATTTTATTTCCTTTGGATATGTACCCAGTAGTGGGATTGCTGTATTATATAGTAGTTCTATTTTAATTTTTGGAGAAACCTCCATACTGTTTTCCATAAAGCTGGGTTTCATTTAACACTATGGCAACCAAAATTTACTTAAGAGAATACACTTGTACGTGTGCACCCGCGCGTGCACGGGTGCGTGCGCACACACACACACACACACAAACCTGAATGAAGAATAATTACACTGCATTTCATGTACTTAATCCTGTTAGTTTTAAATGTGGACTTTGAGAATTTTTTATAAGTCTTCTCATAAACTAGAAGGCTACAGCCATTCAATTCTGTCTGTTAGCATCTGCTAGATTTAGTATAGCCAAGAAATGCTGAGCTCCATGGCAAATGATATTGAAATTCCTCAACCTTTGAGACAACTGGCAGAAGAGCTCAACTTCTTTAATCTGATGAGGGCTTATCACCATACTCTGAGAGAGGAGACCATTCTTCCTTCCATAAGCTCAAACTAGATCTGTCTTTTAAGGTCCATATCATGTGCATCTTCCTTATGAAGCTCTCTCCTGCTCCTCCATCACACATGGATTTCTGCATTCTTTTATCACTTAGTTGCGGGTATTATTAGACTGATATACTTTAACAAGCAACTGAGCTCCCATTAACTCACAAGGGTTAGCCTGGTACCCTAGATTTGAATTTAATTTCTCCCATTTTTTATTTGTGATCTTGGGCAAACAACTAAGGATTTCTTTCTTTTCTTTTCCTTTTTTTTTCTTATTTCAGTGTTCTTCTTAGAAATATATATGTATTTATGTGTATAAATTGCATTGAGCCCAGTATCTGCTCAAGAGAGTGCAGGCTCCCATCTCCTTTTTCTATTCTTATCTTTCCTTTATCCTCAATAAAATGATAATAATTTATATATTTTAGTGCTGGGTGAATTGGGTTATTGATAGATATTTAAAATATATTTGCAGATTAAAATCTGAATGAATAAAATATAAATGGTATTTTTAGAACAGTGAATCTTTCAAAAAAGGAACTAAGAAAGAATAATTGTACTATTTTCACAATAGTTTTTGTAAAATAGAAAAAAGAATAGAAAAATGAATGGTTTTTCTGAAGTAGTATTGTAACAATTGTGCCAAGAAGGAAATATAGAAAACTGTAGCTTCTTTTCTCACTCTGCCAAGCTAATGCCATGTATTAAATGCATGACTACAATCTAATTTAAATTTGTGGTCAAGGGAAATCAATAGAGCTAAGAGTACACTTTGCAATTTGAAAGAATTAAGGTACCTCTAGAGCTTTTTAGTACGATTTCTCCCTTTTATAAATTGCCATGTTTATATAAAATCTGAAATGGAGACTTCTCTTAGAACTAGAATCCTATCTCCCCCTATAGAGCACCTTGTTTTTGGTTTCTTTTGTTTGTTTGTTTGTTTGTTTTTGAGACAGAGTCTCTTTCTGTCATCCAGGCTTGAGTGCAGTGTCCCTATCACAGCTCACTGTAACCTCTGCCTTCTGGGTTCTAGCAATTCCCCCACCTCAGGCTCCCAAGTAGCTGGGATGACAGGTGCACACGACCACGCCCAGCTAATTTTGGGTGTGTGTGTGTGTGTGTGTGTGTGTGTGTTTAGAGACAGGGTTTTGCCATGTTGACCAGGCTGGTTTCGAACTCCTGACCTCAGGTAATTCACCTGCCTCAGCCTTCCAAAGTTCTGGGGTTCCAGGCATAAGCTACCATGTCTGGCCAGAGTACCCTGCTTTTAGGGAACAAATAATTTGCTAAATGTTTCTAGTGAGAGGAGAGACCCTGAAGGAGTTTGCTCAAATAATGATGGATGGTTACTGAACTGCCTGTTTAAGGAGGTGACTGGTTAACTATAGGGCTTTAGCCTTGCTGAGCTGGGTATGCCATCAGCGAACAGAGCAGACTTGCTTGAAGCAATAAAGGAAGTTTATTGGCTATATGGGAGAAGAGCCGGCATGGAAAGTAAACAATTGTGGCTGTGGACAAAAATATTATAGAGTGAACACACATATCAGATCTGTATTTTTAGTAAGTGGTCAAAAACATAACATATGAGTCTCTTAGGTAACCTTTATATTAACAAAGCTTGGTTTGGCCTCTGTTGGGCAATCAGTCATGAAGGGTTTTGATACTTATATCCAAAGTTGTCCCCTGATATAGGAGAATCATGACCGTTGCAGTCTCCTTTATGTGTCTGTTTTTCAGGGATATGACAAAATGCTACTACTTCAAGGTCAGTGCAGGCAAAAGCAGAAGCTGGCAATGAGAGGATACCCAATGCTAACAACAATGTGTCCAGGTCCACAGAAAAAATATAACACAGAAAACTCTATATAGAGTATCTTCTAATGATAATCCTCCTGATACTCTTAGCTGCTTTTCTGTCTTTTTTTCCTTGTAGGAGATATATCTTCCTTATATTATTACACTACAACTAAGGAAGCTATTGATGATTATTACAATTGCTGTTATAAAACTATTACTTACCGTTTGCTGGATACTGTTCTAAATGTTCTCCATGTGTTCGGATGGTTAATCCCTACCATTCTTTATGCCATTCTGAGCATCCTCACATGGGGTTTGGTGTTACACTAGGACGTTTTCTTTACTCCTTCCCTTACCAGAAAATCTATGGAACAAAAACAAGAGTAACCCAGGAATACAATTCCCAAAGATAGAGTTATTCACTCAGGAGTAATAACCCACAGAAGGGTTCAGCAGAAACATCTGAGTGAGGCTTTGCATCTCAGGTCCTGCAGACTTAGCTGTTGAGATGGTAAGCAGACTTCCTTAATACTACTGAGGAAATTTATAACCAGAAACTTAGTGTTTCCAATGGAAATGTTAGACAAGAGAAAATAAACTATAAAACCAAGCCTTTGTTTTATATTTATAGCTGTGGCATAACTATAATTCTACAAAGAGACAGCAAGTAAAATTATAAAAAACAAATGTAACACGAATGAGAACATTCTCGACTTCAAAATTTGGTCCATAATTTTTCCACCTTCAAGGCTTCTTAATTATTTCTTCTTTGAGTATTTTCTAAAACTTTTCAATAAACTCAAAACAAAATAGTTGAAAGTGTTCTAGGGGAAAGGGGTAGCCAAATAGAATCTGACTCTGTTTGAATTTCCTGAAAGATGTAGTGGTTTTAAACAAAATGAAAAGAATATCTCTGCCCTAGGATAAGCTTTACTTAATTTGTCCTGGTAGAAAGAAGCAAGACATTGTAAAGATGTAAGAACACAGGATGAAAAGGATATATACAGAGAAGGAATAATTTAAAACTTGCTATGTAATAACAATAAATAATATTTGTTTTGTATTTATTACATGACAGGGACAATACACTGAAACAGCTTGTGGTCTGAATGGAAACAAATTCCTCAGTGTAGGCCATAGGAAACATTGTTCATCTCCTATAAGTCAGAAGAGCCCTTCAAAGTTAACTCATGTGGTTAGTATTTTCCAGACTCAAAGGGAGAGCATCTGACCTATTTTTGGAAATATATCATTGGTCATCTAATATAAAACTGGCAATATCCACCTTAAAATTCTACTAAAAACCAATGGATAAGAATCACATTTAGGAACTCATGATTATTCAATAGAAAATTGTCTCTGTCTCCAGTTCTAGTATTTTTGTTGGCATCGATTATCTTTCAATCATTGAGTGTCATCATTTAAAAGAGCCTGGTTTCCTTGCTCAAACATATTGTGAATATATAATATCTAGAGGTAATACTAACTTTACTACGTCAGTTTTATAGAGCTATACGATATCTCCTAATGGTTAATTTTATTGCTTGGTGAGGTCTATGGTTTACTCTAACATGATAATCCTACAGAAAATGTTATTAAAATTGACCCAGCTCATCCGATGATATTCTTGGTGACGATAAATAGGTCAGCTAAGATGCCTGCAATACAGTTCAGGAGATTTAAGAAGGCATAATAGAATCACCCCACCACTACCATACACACATACACACACACATATAAGAAGCAGTCTTCAATAATTGCATTTTTTTCCATAAGACTATTCTGTAAATAATTTCATACACAGTGCAGTTTTAAAGGATGGGAAATAATTAAGTACATTCATATGAATTGGTCCCCTTTTTGATTCATGAATTAAACTGTTAGATAGCTTTTTTATGCCCTCCAGATCATCTTTTCTTATTAAATAGACTTCTCTTGGTCTCCAAAAGCCTGACCTTTATGGATCCCTTGCTTCTTTCACTGGGTTGACAACTGGAAAGAGAGAAAGAGAGAGAGGATGTTCAAGGTATTTGTTCTCCCAGCTCTGGTTTCTCCTTGGCCTGGCTGCATTCCTCAACAAAAGGTCAAATCTCCTCTCCAGGTGGCAGTCTCCATATGACTGTCTTAAGGAATTTTTATAATTCCTGTGTCCACTCACCCCTTCAGGAGTGCAAACAGTCCTGGAGATCACCCTTCCACATCTTTGCAGAGTCCCTTTATTTAACTCCCTTGAGTTATCCTAATTGGAAAGTGCCATCTGTTTCCTGCTGACATCCTGACTAACATGCACATGATCAGATCTCAAAAATGAGTAGCACCATGTCACTCCTGATGATCGAATAGCTTGGTTTGAACAGTTCAGAAATTAATTGCAAGAGGCTCCTTCTATTGACAAGTCACAGCCAGTGCAGCAAAGCTCTTCTAGGGTGGATTGATCTTCCAGTTTGATACTATCACCATGTTTCCTTTATTCTGGTTTTCTAAAAGAAGCCAGTCAGCTTCCATTTGAGATAATCATTGCAGCTAAAAAGTAGAACAAACTGTGCTTCTTTTAGATATTCAATAATTAGAGATTGTGTGAGGCAAAGATGACCAGATAGGACAAGTGAAAAATTGAAGAAAAAGCTTCAGCAGCAGCTTCGGTCCATAGAAAAGTACTAAACAGCTGGTCAACCAATCTAACTAAAAATATCAGGATGTGTCCTACTTTAATTGATATCCCTTCCTTTAAAACAAAAAGAATTGGGAAGCTCTACTTCATGCCTTCTTAGACCATCCACAGGCCTAAAACATGAACACTCACAATTTAACTTAGCTTCTTTCTTCAGGATTCAGTTTTTATGTCTCTATTTTTGAAAAACTAAGGCAGACTGTCACAATATTGGGACATGTGCTATTTTCTGTGTTCCTTTAATATCTCGCTTTTATTCCAATGTATCATGCATTTAAAATTCTCTAAATATTTCCAATGTAAACAAAAGTTAGAAAATTTTTGTAATTTTTTAGTGTTCTCTAAGACAGAAGATTTTATAATAATGCTACATTCGAATTTACATTTAGTTAGTATGAAGGCCTTTTATAGGTACCCCACAGAGAGAAAAAATACAGTTTTATCATTGAAGCAGAATAATTGTATCTGAAATGACAACATCTTAATAAATACTAGCTGATTGAATGATTAAAATATAAATAAATATCATTATTAAACTAAACTTTACCAATCACATCTATAGGCCTAACTTTATACATATATTTGTTTCATTTGACTTACAGAAGTTTTCAAAATAAGCATTATTATTTCAGTTTTGCCGATTAGGAATTTAATATTAACAAGGTTAATAATTCTATTCAAGGCACAATATTGGCAGTCATAGTACTAAGGTTGGAAACTATTGTCTACCTAAGTTCAGAACCTGTGCTCTTCCTGCTATTCACACTGCCCCTAGAGCACTAGAAATGGGTCATAAACTGGAGAGGTCCTGGTATCTAACATAAACAATAGATGCAAGTAAATGTTTTCCAAAGGACAGATTTCTTACTACTTAATAATCTGGTGAATTAAGAGGTCAGGACTCAGAGGTATAGAAACAAGAATAATAATAAAAAACAGCTAACTGCCTCTCATCAACTTACCATTTCAATAATGTTAGGCTCTTTTTTGGAATTCAGCTTGGTCACAGGTAGAAAAAAATTAATAGAACTAATGGCAATGATCAATTCTATCTATATTCTTTTAGTTGAGTATAGTGTAGAAGACTGAGGTCTAAAGAAAAAAAGTTGTATTAATCTTAATGTGTCTTCACTCACCTGGGCAGAAACATCTTTTTTCCATAATCCAGAGTATGGAAGAAGCCATCCATTTGGGTGATGTTCTAGTGCAACTGGAGTTATTTCATAGGATGGGAAATGAGTGACAGCAAGAAAGGGTTTCTGCAAGGCCCTAAGCTGACACTATTCAGCTGGAAAATCTGCAGAAGAGGTTGTGTTAAACTTGTTTCTGAAAGCAGTTAAACAGGTTATAAGGCAGAATACTGCAATCACCTTTGAAGTAAATGAGCCCAAACTTTCTAAATATCCATGATGTCTGAGTTGGTCCTAGATACAGCTGGTTAGAAAACGTCTTAGTAATCTTCAGTTGGTTGCCCAGAAGGAGTTAAGGAACTAGAAATTATTGCTGAAGTAGAACAGCATTTGTGTATCTGCTGAAAAAATATAGCACTAAGAAGAACCAGCAATAGAAGCTAAATTTATTTTAGAGGTATACCTTCTGGCTGAGACTAACTCTTGCAATAGACAGAGATCAAAAGACGATGCAATAAAAGATGTGGCAAAGAAATTGTAGACAGAAAAATTGGTTAAACAGTGTGGCTTATATAACTTGAAGATGATAGCAAATATAAATGCTGATTTTATTTTATTAGAAATCATCTTTTCAAGTGACAGATGCACGTCAATTTTATGCTAGGTAAACCTTTTTTGCCATTACATTTGTCTTTTGAAAAAGCTTTAAGGTCAGCAATTACTGGATTTGAAGATGCCCTCGTGTTTCTTGAAAATATAACACAGTGCATGATTTGCAGGGATTTTGTATTACTTATTTATTCAAGATAGTTAATTTAATAAATTTCCTGGAAACCATCACACTCTGTGAGCTCTGCAAGGTAAAGAATCATGTATCACTAGCCTCTCCTCAAAGCTTGACACAATGTTGAACATGTAGAAAGTTTGCTTAACTATAGAATACAGGATTAAAATGCCTAATATATCACAGAAACCGGGTGTGTTGATTATTTCTTTTTTGACTTTTAGCTAGTCCCAGGGCTAAAGTTCTTAAGGACCCATTCATCAGCAATGTCAAAAGACATGGAGGAAAATACATTACTTCTCTTAAACTTCATTTGTTTCTGTACAACCTTCATTTTTTTTTGTACGGGTCATCAATACTGCAACTAGTCAACACTAGTTGACTTAAAATGCAGTGCTTACAATATTCTAGTCACTGTTTTGAGCGTTTATTTATATTATGAAATTTAATCCTCCTATAATCCTATGGGTAAATATCATGTTTACCTGGTCTATATAGTGGAGTTAAGAAGTTAAGAAACTTGTTTAAGTGGTAGAGTCAGAATTTATACTGGATTCTTACTAGAGTTTAAGATCTTAAATATTACATAACACTACTTCTCAATGTTGTCAAATTTTATATTTTTCTTAAACTCACTATGCACATATTTTTTTCCAGAAAAGCTTCATTCACTGTGCTTATATATATACTAGTTACACATTTTCTTATTACTTCTTAAAGTAAAATAGTTATTAAAGCACATTTTAATATATATACTAGTTACACATTTTCTTATTCTTAAAGTAAAATATTTATTAAAGCACATTTTAAAAATTCTGTCTAAAAATAAACTCACATAGAACTACTGAAACATGTACCATATTTTAGAGTCATTTGCTTGGTAGAAAACATGGATTTCTGAATCACAAGAGCTTTTTATTCTAGACCAGGGATCACAAGCCCAGGGACATGCATCAGAGAGTGGGTTGCCCATTCCTTAAAATGCCATTGGCAGACACCAAGCAATCCTCTACAGTTCTCCTTCCCACTGAACACAGGTGAGGCTGCAGATTATTTCTTAATTCATAATTCTGGGAAATTATCACACACACAACAAAATTCATATGAAAGGTGAAACAAAATTATCCGTATTTTAGACCCAGTTCTGTTATAAGTCATTATGTTACTTTAAGCTAGATTTTCAATTCTAATACGCATCAGTTTCTCCTGCTGTATAACTAGAGGTTTGGTTAGGTTTATGATCAATTCGAGTTGTAGAAATTTGTTCTGTGACATTTTAGTTAATGGTCAGTCAAGAGCGGCCATAAGAGTAAACAAAGAAGAGACTCAGAAAAATAAAGTTTATTATGTAACCACAGGTCCTAGAGAGACAGAGTCACTACACACCAAGAAAAAGCCATAAGAGGAACACCTATGGAGTTGGTTCAACTAAGCAAGTAGAGAGCCTAAAGAGATAGAGGACCTGTGGGCAGTTGCCATTATTAGGGGTCAGTGTGGAGGACATATGAAAAGGCATGAGACTTCATTGGGGTTTTTGAATATTACTAGATCATAACCAGGGAAGGGCAGGAAGGGAAACTTGTGGCAGGAACCATCATTATCACAGTGGGGAAGGGTGTTCCCAGCCTGTTTGTGTAGATGTTGAGGCTATAGAAAAGAAAAATGAATATGAACTTCAAAAAAATTTATAATATAAATCCATAATGTTATCACTTTATTTTTCTGCCCCTTCTGTGTACTTATTTCCAATTTTCACCACAAATTCTTTATTTTTATTTTTATTTTACTTTAAGTTCTGGGATACATGTGCAGAACATGCAGGTTTGTTACATAGGTATACCTGTGCCACGGTGGTTTGTTGCACCTATCAACACATCATCTAGGTTTTAAGCCCCGCATGCATTAGGTATTTGTCCTAATGCTCTCCCTCTCCTTTTCCCCCATCCCCAACAGGCCCCAGTGTGTGATGTTCCCCTCCCTGTGTCCATGTATTCTTACTGTTCAGCTCCCACTTATGAGTAAGAACATGGTTTCACCGCAAATTCTTAAAAGAAGTTGGATGTCATAAACAAACGGACCTAACAGACATAAACTGAACACCCCAACCAGTGACAGCAGAATACACATTTTTCTCGAGTGTACATGGAACATTCTTGGGGAGACATCACATATTATGTCATAAAATAAGTCCTGATAGATTTTAAAAGATTGAAAATTATACAAAGTATCTTTTCTGTTTGCAAAAGAATGAAACGAGATAACAGAGAAAAAATTTTAAAATACAGAAATACGTGCAAATTAAAAAACACACTTTTAAAGAACCATTGCATCAAAGAAGAGATCAAAAGGGAAATTAGAAGATATCTTCAGACAAATGAAAATGAAAACATCATTTTCTAAAATTTATGAGATGCAGCAAATTTATAGCTATAAACTCTTACATTAAAAAAGGAAATATTTCATATCTACTTTAAGAAACTACAAAATGTTTACAGCTTAAGGAACTAGAAAAGAACAAACTGCACTCAGAGACAGTAGAAATACAGAAATAAGGATGAGAGCAGAGATAAACAAAATAGAGAACAGACCAAACAGAGAAAATCGATGAAACCAAGAGTCAGTTCTTTGGGTGGCTAAACAAAATTGACAAACTTTTAGCTAGGTTAACTTAAAAATTTAAAAAGAGAGAGAGAGAAAAGATTAACATAACTAAAGTCTGAAAGAAAAAGGGGAGATAACTATAGATTTTACAGGCAAACTTGGGTTTTACGACCCAACTTTGTCTATTTGCAATTGGTGGTGCTTCCTTTCTCGCATTCTAGAAAGGAATGTCATCCATTTAAAAAATTTCTGAGAAAGCAGTAACTTTCCCAAAATAGTTACCTATGAATGTCCTGAAGAATCACTTTATCTTGTTTATGTAAATATTATAAAAATTATCTGGGGTTTTAGGCTGAACACCTGTTCCATTCAAGAGAAAAAATAATCTGATATCTCCAGACATGTGTCAGTCATAGCCCTCGACACTGTTTCTCCTGTTTAGAAACTTTAAATTAAACAAAAAAAACAAAACAAAGTCATAAGTATAATTCGATAGATCATACTGTACGATGCATTCATGATGCATGCAGTATGCATCATGACGACACATACTGAGCTACCTATAGCTGAGTTAATGTGGTTGATGGAGTTTTGACTAACACATTAGAAAGTTTTATTTATCATCCTGCTATAAACTGTGAAATAGTTTTCAGAATTTGGTGAATCCAGCTTTATGGTTTATAATTTATTACCATAATATTGGGGGGGGGGGACAGTACGTTAAGCCATTTGAGTCCCTAGAAAATGTCCCTTAAGCAAAACAAAACAAAAACAAAAACAAAAAAAACAAAACAAGACAAAAAAAGAACCCGATGATTTCAGTGACTGTAATTTGCATAGGCCAAAAATATGTCTGTTTAAAACCCAGAAACGAAGGAATTATTGAACACTTTCATGTCTACATTTTGTTACCTTTAAATTTTGACCATTTGTGCATTAAAATGTATCCTTAATCAGTGGTGTTCCTATCTATAGAAGCAGACGAAAGGGGAAAATGTATTTGCACTTGCAGTTTGCAGCCCCACAGTTAAAATAAGCTATCGATTAGAATTACTTCTTTGACAGCTTAGAATAATTACAATTGCATGAGTTTTTATCTATGAAATATTTGCTAGTGAAACATTGTATAATATTTACAATGCATAAATTTTCTTACAGTTAATACTTGTTTTGGTTAACATTGCCTAATGCCAGCACCAGGGAAGAGCAACTAGCAAACTTCCTTTAGGGTTCAGTTTTCCTTTCTGGTGAAAAATAAGTTTTTAAATATATTACATCTATTTATTTATCAATTATGATGGTTTGTACCTGTAGTATTATTTTAGTAGTAAAGATCCAGATTCTGGCTGTGTTTCTCATGCTGATGCCTACAATGCAGGGTAGGGCTTGGCTTATATTCACTCTTCATACAGGGAGAAAATCAGATAGTGCTAGATTTGAATTCTCACTCAGGTACTTAATAACTGTACAATCTTGGTCCAGTCACTTAAACTGTCTGTCTTCATCCATAAGATGAGAATAATAAAGCCCACTTTATAAGATTGTTATAAAGACTAAATAACAACATATATATAATGTTTATAGCATAGTGTCTGACACATTACTAGTGTTCACTAAAATATGACTGCTACTATCATTGTCATTTTTTTAACCACAGAGGCATAAATAACTTAATAGATAAAGTCACTAATAGTCACAATTTTGGAAATCACCTACAGAATGAATATTATATCCCTCTATTGAGGAATTCTATAAAGAACCTCACTGGAAAGAAAACATAATAGAAGATTTCTGAGCCTCAGATCCTTCAATACGCTGCTCTGATTTGAATAGCAGTAGGCATTGGTTCCTCACAGCATGTCACATTGTATCATTATATGCTCATGAAAAAAATGATATACTTCATAAAGTCCACTTTGAAGAAGGAAAAAATTAAGAAATCAAATGGCTCTTTGCTGTCCCTACAATTTTAATGTGACAAAAGAAAGATGCTACTGAGGAACATGACTAACTTCAAAAATACAAATTAGCGTACAACTAATCTTATTGCTTTAATTATTAATTCCTTTTGAAATGAATGCTTTTGTTACATATTTTTAAGTTTTATTACATCTTTTATGTTGGGTTACTTTATGTTGTATTTTTAGTTGGCATAATGAAACATCCTGTCATAATACAGCATAAGGAAAAGTGACATTTTTGTGGGTGTTTCAGAAGTAAATCATAAATGATTGAAGTGAACATCTTGGTAGTTCACTATATCAATCAATGGAGGTATCCAAAATTATCTTATATTTTCTTTATTTGAAAACATATGAATGTAAACAGTTTTGTCAAGAACTATTTATGAATGTCAATAACTACAAAAACTCTGTCCAAAGATCTTCATTCACCTTAAGACTTAAGAAATTATTTCAGATATTTTTGATTGAAAAAGAAATGAAAAATGAAAGTATGGATTTTGAGAAATTTTTTTGGTATTTCTTTTTTTCTTTGGAGAAAAAATGTTATCATTAACAGCATGTTCTATCAACTCTTTCTAAAAGCTCCTTGGAAATATTGTAGCTTGGGAATTATAAATATGAGACCTCACTACTCACATAAAGTAAAATTGTTTTTTATTAATACTAACAGAGTTTTATTTACTTGGAAAGACTTGTAGAAATTTTACAGAAGAGAAAATTAGAGAAAAATATGGGTAGCTAAGAAGTATATTTAAAAATGTATAATGAACTACTTAAAAATGAGACTTTATGTCAGAAAATACATGATTTTCTTTAGAATAAATTAGCTTTTCTTAGAGGTATGACTCGGAGGTGTAAAAAAAATAATAAAAATACGAACTTAATAGTAAATATCTACTTTTCACTGGGATGTACAAAGCTGTAAGAGACTATGGGCTCCACTTTAATATAAAGAGCAAGCTAAAGAAGCTACAAAGTCAACATTAAAACAAACAAAGAAAGCAAATAAAACAAAACATCAGAGAGCTGAAGATGAAAACAAAACAACATCAAAAGTGTATGAACTCCACTTCAGAAAGTGATGGATCCTTTCAAAGGCAGAAGAGCTCCCAGCTGCTTTGATTTCTGGTGAAGAAAGAGGAGGATAAGACATCTTCCTTAGAAAGGCAGAAGGAGGAATCAGCTGAACATTTAATACAGTTTTAATGGACATTTGTGGGCTGGTTTGATAGATTAGAATACTGAGGAAACCCAGTCACAAATTCAGTTGCATTCTTCTACTAATATTTTTTCTACTAGTCTTTCCTTAATCAAGCTGAGATAGGACAGGAGAATTAAGGGGAATCCCATCCCTGAGGTGCTGTCCCCATTGCAAGGCAGTGGCTTACTTTAGCTAAGCAGGGCAGGAGAGCCAGAGAACAACTACCTGAGACACAATGTGTCATTGTCAAATGCAGGTAACCGCTGTCAGCGATGGTGAGGAGGACAGGAAAGCTGAGATAAATCCTCCTAAGCCACTCTTCACCGTCTCTGTGTGTATTGCGGAAACCCTCCAAAGGCCGCACCGGTGAGGTAGGAACTCTGAGAAAGAGAAATCCTTCTCGGGCACCCCTGGTGTTCACTGAAAGCATTGCAGCTCTGTTTCAAAGGGTCGAATGGAGACCACTTGAGGGAGGGAGATTCCCAGAAACCTTCCCAAGGATTAACCTAGACATGAGAGAGGATTTCTCAGTGTCCCAAAGGCCTGGTGCCGAGCTTAAATTAGAAAGTGACTTCCCACGGCTTGAAAGCTGGCATCCGGAAAGGCACATGAAAATTATTGACATTTTGCTGATGTTCAAGTCCCAAGCTTGGATGAAGAAAATGTCGTTGTTCTTTTCACCAAATGGTGGAAGCCAATGGTGAACAAAAGGAATAAAGCTGCAACGAAGTCCAGACCCAGGTAAAATATGGCTATACTCAGCCTCAATAGTAGAGACCTTACAGAAATAAGAGTGTACCATTTTCTAGGCTAAATATTGTTTTGCAAATGTACTAGATACTTTTATATTCAATATCTGATGTACGGTAAAAATTACCAAACATGTAGAAACAAGAAACTGTGGTCCATAGTCAAGGCAGGAAACAGGCTGGGCGCTGTGTCTCACGCCTGTAATCCCAACACTTTGGGAGGCATTCCAACACGTTTGGGAGGCCGGGGCGGGTGGATCACCTGAAGTCAGGAGTTCGAGACCAGTCTGGCCAACATGGTGAAACTGTGTCTCTACTAAAAGCACAAAAAATTAGCTGGGAGTGGTGGCGTGTGCCTGTAGTCCCAGCTATTTGAGAGGCTGAGGCAGGAGAATTGCTTGAACTTGGGAGGCAGAGGTTGCAGTGAGTTGACATTGCAACATTGCACTCCAGCCTGTGCGACACAGTGAGACTCCATCACACACAAAAAAGAGAGGAAACAGAAAATTCAAACAGATACAGAGATAGCCTAGATTTGAAAAATGTATGCATGGATTTAGTTGAAAAAAACATGTGTAACATTTAATAATAAACTGGATATTTCATCACAGGGATAAAAACTATAAAAATAAACCAAATGAATTCAATTGACAGATTTAGCAGCATGCTAGCAACTAAAAAGGAAAGTGTCAGCGAACTTGAAGTCAATTCTATAGGAATTATCCAATTGAAACACAAAGTATAAAAAACTTTTAATAAAAAATAGTTAGAAAAACTGGTTATTTGAACGGAAAAAATAATCTCAACCCCTTTCTCTGTAAGTATACGAAGAAGATATAAAAGCTAAAGAAAAGTGATCCTCAAGTAAAATATGGAGAAGTTAAAGGATGCATAGAAAGATTCAGAAGCAGAAATTTCACTCACTATGTGTGCTGGCTCTATTCCATTTTTGTTCTGTCAGTAAAATTGATTATTGCACACTTTGAAAAAGTCCTTTATTCACTTGTATTGCGTTATTATATTAGTATAGTACTTTGTACTGAATGAGCCCTAAGAATGAGGATACTAGTTGTCCAACACTGTTGACAAAATTTTATATTGTAGTATTTCTATTAGCTATTCCAGCATTTATGGAATTATATCTTTTTGTAGCTTTAATTTATATTTCCCTAATGACTAATAATTTGAGTACTTTTACATGCTTATTGATCATTAATTTATCTTTCTTTAGATGTATCCAAGTCTTTTATCCATTTTTAATTGGGTTGCTTGCCTATGGAAGTTTGTTATATAAGTTTTCTGTGTATTATAAATTTGAGCTTTTGCCAAACGTATGTATTACAAATAGTTCTTTTCTCAGAGTGTGGCTTTTCAACTTATTTTCTTACTAATGTCTTTGATGGGCAGATGTTTTTAATTTTGATGAATATGACTTATTATTTTTTCTTGTATAGTTAGTACATTTTGGTCAAATCTAAGAAATACATGTGTACTCCAAGATTATGAAGATATTTGCTCAAATTTTCATTTAAAGTCTTTACTCTGACATTTATATTTATGTCTACGATAAATATAAAGAAAGATAAATGAATGATCAAAAAAGGTACTAAAAATCATTAGTCATTAGGAGAATAAAAATTAAAGCTAAAAAATGATATAATTCCACAAAAAATGCTGGAATAGCTAATAGAAATACTACAATATAAAATTTTGGCAAGAACGTTGGACAAATAGTATCTTCATTCTTACTCAGGGTTCATTCAGTACAAAGCACTATATTAATAAAGTAATACAATACAAATGAATAAGGGGTTTTTCCGAAGTGTACAATAAGCAATTTAAATGATAGAACAAAAATGAAATTCAACCAGCACACATAGTGACTGAAATTTCTGCCTCTGAATCTTTCTATGCACCCTTTAAATTCTCCATATTTTACTTGAGGATGAGATTTTCTTTTGTTTTCTTTTTCTTTTTTTTTTTTTTTTTTTTAGCTTTCATGTCTTCTTTGTACCTCTAAAAGTGTTATTTATTCTTGGCATTATTCTGAAAAAAGAACAGATTCTGGCCTGTATCGTTCACTATGTTTTTGTTTAAGCTCATATCATCATTTAATTTTCCTGGTCTTCTCATGTCCAATTTGAAACACTCAGAATCTCTTCTCTGCTCAATTGTGACCACAGGGATAAAATATATATTAAACACAGCACCTAGCCTCATATCCTCATCTGGCAAATGGCAATTTCAAAGATGGGAGCATGAGCTACGCAAGAAACCCTAAATGTATTTATTACAAAATTTAACCTCATAAGGTTTCCATGTAGAATCAATGAGAAAATGCATATAAAATACAAAGTAGAGTACCTTGCACACAGTAAGAAAATAATAGATCTTTTACTATTATCAAAACAAATCTTATAATAACAAAAAATTATAATTACATGCATCTTATGAATATATTATTATAGATCTTTTATTATTATTATTTGAAAATGTACCAGGACACATAGCATGCTGTGAACACTTTAGTAAGTACTTAAGACTTGTTTTTTTTTTTTAGTAAAGCGATATGCAACGCAAAGGAAATTAAATTTACTAATCACTATGTCTTTATGTCAACTTGACATTTATATTTTTGTAACACCATTTAAACGGTGAAAAATTTCAAAGTAGAGTCATGTCATTTATTCTAAATATTCTTAGTCATGTCAAATATATTGTTTATATAATAGAGCAATTAATCTAGAATAAACTGAAAGTGCTTGAATCTCCAAAACTATATAGTTCTGGTCTGTGTTATCATCATGAGATTGATTTACATAAAATTTATTCCAGGATTTATAAAATAGCATTAATGAATAGCAAATTCATAGCTGTGCAGAAGATGGTTTCTAGCTGAGCTACAGAAAATATTTTGATTATTAGATAACAATTTTCTTGAGGGCTGGAAATACACTTGATCATAACTTTATCTCACTATTTATCAAAGTGCCTAGTATAGAGTAGGTATCACTAACTATATCATCGTCACATAATCTTCAGATAGTGCATTTTCTTTTGGTGTACTTCACCTGTTCTGTGTGTTCGGTATTTTAGTGATACCTCATAATATAGAAAATATGATTTTGAGAAACTTATGAGATGACTTAACCCCTATTTTCTTGTACATATACAAATAATTTAATGTATTTTATTCAATGTTAATCTACTAGCAAATGGAAAACCTGAGATTGGAAACAGATCTGACTGCATACTAAATTTGCATTCCAAAGTGATATATATATATATATATAGAAGCATGAACATCAATTAAAATAGTTCAGTTTTTTCTAAAAAGAAATGTCTCCATTTAAATTTAACTAACTTCCCAAGATACCCCATAAAGTTACATTAATTGTAAGGAAACAGGCTGAAATAGAAATTCTTAATTTGAAAACTCCCTTATTAATATTAAGTGTGCTCACCAAAGGACTCAGTCACAGCATGTAGCACTTTAGAATAGCCAGATTAAATTTACTGAGCTGTAGGTTTATTGCTTTGATAAGTACAGTGTATATTTACTATTTCTGTCATATATTTTCTGTAATTAGTGCAACTGTTATCTCATTTGACAAATAGCAGACAAAATGTTCTTCAAAAAAGGGTTTTCACCGAATCCCTTTTTTTTCTCAGAAGCGTTCAGTAATACACTGTGCTTAAAAGCCTAGCTGCTTAGCAAATCAAATCATCTCATGTTTTATGCCCAGCATTTGATGTCTTCCTTCAGTTACCCTCTAATTCTCAACCTGTCTATTCTCACTTTGTAAAACCTCCTTTATCAAGTCAAACCTTCTCTACTTTTGACTATATTTTGTACATGTTTTATTCTTCCTCTACTCCATTTCATGCACACTATTTTGACGCTCAGATGAAAAGTTACCCAATTTGAGATGAATTTCCTTGTTATTATTTCCATAGCTTCGAATTTTCTTACCTTCTTCGAAAAATCCATATTCTGATTGCCAATATGGCAAGAACTGAGCTCCTTCCTACTCTTGATCCACATAATTCTAGGGAATCTGGTGACATTGGATGAGGCAATCTAGAAGAAATCCTGGAAGAGGAAATATTTGGTCTGAGACCTGAATGACGAGAAGGACTAGTTCTATGGAAATCTGAGGAGAGCATTCCATGCAGAGAAAAGAGAAGGGCAAGAGCTGGGGGTAGAAACAGACTTTGCTTTTTTATCAACTGAAAGAAGACATAGTAGCTAAAGTATAATGAACAATGGGGACAGGAGTAAGAGATGAAATTGAAGGAGTTTCCAGGATGAGATCCTAATAGGGCCTTATATGCATAGAAAGAGTTTGGATTTTATGTTAAATACGCAGAAAGCTATTGGAATATTTTAACAAGAAAGCTCATATGTTCTGACACATATTTTAAAAAATCATTTTGTCTATTAAGGGGAAAATGAACTAAGGGTGTTACAGAGTAAGTCTCTGTGGCCATGGGAAAATCCGATATGGACTTCCTCAGCTGTCAAATGGGGATAATGGCTTCACAGAATGATGGCAAAGTATGCTTCTTCATGAGAAAAATTTAGACGCTGGTATGATGAAAATAAAGATATTAGAGAAGATCTTCAAAAAGGAACATAGTCTATTTGAGAAATCAGAAAAGTGGAGAATAACAGCAATAAGTTACGCAAGTAACTAAAGGAGAAAAAGAAAATGTAGTCTCCACCGAGCCACCTTCCTGACTCATTGGTTTTATTGTCCTTGTTTTTTTCATTTGCTGACTTCACTGTTTAGCTTAGGCTCTTTTCTATTCTCAATGTAACTTTCATTATTTATTAAATATGTTGGGAGACAAGTATAGTGAAAGTGGGGAGTTGAATACAAAAGAAGAGGGCTCAAAACAAGTGCAATGATGAAGAAAATACTTGTAGCAGCTGTTTCCAAGCTGCTTGAGACATTCATCTAGCTATTTCATGAAATCTGTCTACTTTTCCGTTTTCTGCTCACGTCCAGGAATAGTCAATGGAATGTGCAGGGCAAAGAACAAAGAATGATGCTGCTGAATTGTTCCACGTATCCACAACCGTGTCTGTGAATTAACATTGAGATCTTAATCCAGGCTTTCTTTAACACTAGAAACAAGTGATGCACAAATTATTTTAATAATTGATACTAACTTTGCTTATTTTCTCTACTGTTGAAGTCACTATGTGTGACAGTATTAGAGCATTCACATCAGAAAGAACAATAAACACATCCCTTATCTTAACACATCCCTTATATCTTAACACATCCCTTATATCTTAACACATCCCTTATCTAAACACATCCCTTATATCTTATCTCTGTGTCTGAGGAAGCAAAGGCTTTGTTTGTCTACTTAAGGGAGCATTCTTGTTTCTTCATGATCATTAATATGGGAAACTTGTGAACTTTTCTGTTTGTTATTTTGGCAAGTTATTTTCAATCCACCTTAACATGCAAAATGTGCAGTGTTGCATAATGCTAGTTTGGATGCAAAAATAAAGTCATTTCTTTGACTTCAGATAATTCATTGCTCATCCAAAAAACGTTCCATTTTGCATTAATATTTTATTGTGCAAACAATAGATAGATACAGTCTCTTTATAGGAATTTTAACTTGCTTATAAGGCTGCAGTCCACTTTCCTCATTACCCAGAAATATTAGGCACCTCTCTTTTCATTGTGAGGTAACTACCCTTCAATTTGTGAAAACTTCCATCCATCTTTACTTATATTTACATTCATGCAGTATATTCATGGATACAAAAATAAAATCACAAAATATCTAATATTTTTCATAAATGTTATCAATCCTACATGTTTTCCTGAACTGTTTAACAAATTTAACATGGTGTCTTGAAAATAATCCCGTATTTCTATAGATTATTTTTAGCCATTGTGTAGTATATTGTTAATTTTTTTTTGTAAATGAGAAGAACCTAAATGCTATGACTAGGAAAAAAATTAATATTTTCTATCCATTTTTAAATCAATACTGAGGCATCTCTCTTCTTTTTATGTGGAATCTCTGGAAATAGCTCAAGTTTCTAGAAATAAAAAAAAAATCAAATGTAATGATTTACTTTCCAGTGATGTATGCCCAGTGATAATGGAATAATATTGGGCTCTAATTTAGTGTTTTAAAAATGTATCACCAATAATCTAGTCATGAGAGTTACAAAAGAAATTCAGTGAATTTTGCAGAAACTTTGTCTCCTCATCTGTAGAATGAATGGTTGTGCTATAGGATCTGCTGCCTTTGATACAGGAGAGGGGGCAGGGAAGTGATGGGTAGAGAAAGGCAGGGTCCCTGGCGAGGGCTCCACCTTTGCGCCTGTGCCCACGGACCTAGGTGAGGACAGGAACTCCTGTTTTCATGTCTAAATATTGCATTTTTCAAGGCCACCCTGGCCCTCCACGCCCTCCATCCGATGCCTATAAAAACCCTGAGACCCTAGGGGGCACACACACATGCCTCTGTACATTGAGAGAAACACACCAGCAGAAGAACACACAGGTAGCTGGACGTTGAGAGGAGCAGAGAAGCAGAAGAGCACACTGACAGGCACCAGCAGATGCCAGTAGGCTATCAAAATGAGACCACCTGGAATTCGGTGGGAGGCAGGGGTTGGAGGAGATTCTGGCCACCGGATGGCCTGATTCTGGGGAAGCCCACCTTCCCACTCCATCCGGCTTCTGGCTCCCCATTCATCTATTGAGAGCTACTTCAACCATTCAATAAAACCTTACACTCATTCTCCAAGCCCACGTGTGATCCAATTTTGCTGGTGCACCAAGGCAAGAACACTGGAGTACAGAAAGCCCTCTGTCCTTGCAGTAAAGCAGATGATCTAATTGAGCCTATTAACACAAGCCACCTACAGATGGCAAAACTAAAAGAGTGCACTGTAACCCCTGCCCACTGGGGCTTCAGGAGCTGTAAATATTCACCTCTAGACACTGCTGTGGGGTCAGATCCCTACAACCTGCCCATCTGCATGCTCCCCTAGAGGTGTGAGCAGCAGGGCACCAAAGAAGCAAGCAACACTCTCATCACACTCCCTGTGAGGGAGATAAGAAAACTTTCCCATTTCACTTTCATGGCAGTATTGTGAAGATGACTTGGAGTAAGTAATAGATGTGAAATCATTTGGGTGCTTTCTAGGGATTTATTAAAATGGCTAGCAGACATATATTGTTTGCTTCTTATTCTCTATCAATTGATATTATGTTATTGCTACATAACAAACAACCTCCAAACTCAGTGGCTTAAAATACATTTATTATTTCTCATACATTTGCAATTTGCTTGGGTTTAGGCAGAGCTAGGATGGACTCTGCTGAGGTGACTCTCTCCTATGTGTCTCTCAATCTCCTTAGACTATCAAGCTAGCTAATAGGTGTTCTTCTCATGTTGATGCAAAGGTGCAAAGGCAACAAGTGGAAACATGCAAGGCCTCTTAAGTTCTAGATTCAGCACCAGCACACTGTCACTTCTCATCTTCTATTAGCCAAATAAGTTACATTACCAAAATGATCTCAAGGGTCAGAGAAATGTTCATCACCCATTTAGGGAAAGAATTTGCAAAATCACATGGAAAGAGTGTACATACAGGGAAAGCTGAATAATAGGGGCTATAGGTGCAACCCACAACATCAAATTGGTTTTTCTTTCCAACTTAGTGATTCCAAATTCCAATCACATCTTAATACCCTTATGAGTGTCTCCATATCTCTATAGGTAGCTATGCCATTACATAATTAATAGTTTAACCTATTTTGAACAAAAGCTTCAAATCACTATTGCAAAAATAACCATAAATAAATATATACTTATAAACATTTAAAATGTTATTACAAACAACACCTCTTATCATTTTGCATAGCAGCAGCAGTGTACTACACCGTGAGAAACCCCTAGTATAGCAAAACATCATAAAAAGTGGTCAATCTTCATGTTAAGTGCTGTATTTGCTGCATTACTTTCATAACTAATTCTTGGCCACAATTCAACATCATCATGCTGGGCTACAGCTTAGATGATCTTGCTGTAGAAGAAATAATTAATTCAGTTATTATACTATCTGTATCAAATGCTAGATTGTCATCAATTCATTGTTGAATTATTTGAGGACTCCAGAACTTCTCTTCAAATAAATTGTATCTCTAGATGGAAAAAAAATATTCCTGTCAGCAAAGTTTCTTTGTGAAAAGACCAACAAATGAAGAACATGGTAAAAAAAAACTTGGTTTAAAATGTGTCTCCTTGAGTGACAGCAGGATAGGGGACTGTTTTCAGATAGCAAAATGATTACAATAGTCTCTCTCCCTCTCCCTCTTTCTCTGTCTCCCTCTCTCTTTTTCTCTCAAAACACGTTATAATTAAAAGGGCTGAAAATATTTTCCTTCTTATAAGAATAAGAAGATAAAACAAGGAACTTTTATAGTATCCTTTTCAACAGATTTCTCTACTACCTTTCTGTGTTTAGGTAAAATACACTGATATCTAACATGCTACGTGTTCATGATCATGATTCTTAGAAATAACCCACGGAATATGACTATTCTGTTCAGAAGCTTGAGACTGAAACATTCTGTTTCTAGATTACGCTTAGCATTTGGTCCCACTGGACACATTCTGGGCATGGGGCTGTGAGCCCTTCAAAGAAAACCTATGTGAGTCAGGAAGGGTTTCAGGAGTGGTTTCCCTAGGACCTGAACAAATTTTCATAGTGGTGGGAATACTGGTGCCCTGGTGACCTTATAGCTTATAGGCCACACAGTCAAGGCTCATGTGATGTAAGCCTTACCAGAATGCCTTGTGGTCCTGCAGGAACAGGAAGGTGGGCAGTCTTTGAGGAACTGCTGCAAGGCAATGTCTCACCTACTCCCTTACCTTGAGAGAGACTTTCACAGGCAGCTCCTCATCTGCCTCTCTAATTCCCAGAGGGGTGTTTTCTGCCCTGTTTCCTCTTAGGGTACAGCTGCAGACTATAAAACTGCTTAGCTGCTGTGTGGAATTGGCTCCACAGAACATAGTGCCTCGTAACTTATTTGCATGTCATTTTGCCCCTTTTGTTTGAGTGTCAACCTGTGGGACAAGGAACATGGGACGTGGAGCACTGCCATCATTGTTGACCTTGTTTGGCTGACAATGTAAGTGAAAAACTATGACTTTATCTGGGTTTATATTTTATTTACCAACTGAATCATTCAGCCTTCTTGACAAATTTGGCTCCCAACTTTGGGCTATTGAGATCACAATGCTTTTTTGGAAGAATGACAACAGGAGTCTGGTGGGCTGGGTGGTCAGATAAAGTACAGCTTGTTGGTGAGTGGAAGAAAACTTGGTTGCTAAAGTGTTCGGTAACAATAGAGGTAACTGTTTCTGGGCCATGATGTCTAAGATGATTGATGAGTTACCTTGGTGGTTAGAATTAGAGATAGAACCTACGAAACCAAGAAAGTATACTGTGGTTGTTACTCACCATTTGGCGCCACTGGGAAGGTGAGCCCACTTTCCTCGGGCCTGGTTCCTGACAATCAACAGTAATTAGTTACCCATAAAAATACTGAGGTTTTCCCTTACAATAAACCCAAACAAGAAAAATTGGATATCAATTTGGGCAAAAGCCTTATGGTATTATAAACATGTGACTCGTCTGATTCGCAGATTAGGGCACTACACAAGTGTTGGTAGATAAAAAGAAATGGAATTATTTTAGTCACTTAGTAATTGGCCCTGTGCTCCAAGACAGTCTGGCCACAGCCACCTTATGCAATGCCATGGGCAAGGAAGAAGAACACCTAAAGACAGACCGAGACTTACTGCAATTGTCCAGTGATATAGTTATGCTTGGTGTCCCCACCCAAACCTCACCTTGAATTGTAATCCTCACAATCCCCATAGTCCCCACATGTGAACGGAGAGACCAGATGGAGGTAAATCAATTGTGAGGGTGATTTCCGCCATGCTGTTCTTGTAATAATGAGTGAGTTCTTATGAGATCTGATAATTTTATAAGGGCCTCTTTCCCCTTTGCTCAGCACTTCTCCTTCCTGCCGCCTCATGAAGAAGGTGCCTTGCCTCCCCTTTGCCTTCCATCATGATTGTAAGTTTCCTGAGGCCTCCCCAGCCATGTTGAACTGTGAGTTAATTAAACCTCTTTTCTTTATAAATGACCCAGTCTTGGGTATTTTCTTATAGAAGTATGAAAATAGACTAATATAATACATTTGTACCACAGAGGGTGGGGTGTGGCTATAAAGTTACCTGATGATATGGAAGTGTCTTTGGAACTGGGTAGCAAGCAGAAGTCGAAGGACTCAGAAGAAGACAGAAAGATGTGGGAATGTTTGTAACTTCCTAGAGACTTGTTAAATGGTTTTGACCAAAATGCCAATAGTGATGTGGAGAATGAAGTCCACGCTGAGGTGGTCTCAGGTGCAGATGAGGAACTCATTTGGAATTGGAGTAAATGTTACTTGGTATGCAAAGAGACTGGCAACATTTTGCCCCTGCCCTAGAGATATGTGGAACTTTGAACTTGAAAGAGATGATTTAGGGTATCTGGCAGAAGAAATTTCTAAGCAGCAAAGCATTCAAGAAGTGACTTGGGTTTTGTTAAAAGTGCTCAGTTTTATGCATTTACAAAGAGATGTTTTGGAATTGGAGCTTATGCTTAAAAGGGAATAGAGCATAAAAGTTTAGAAAATTTGCAGCCTGACAATGCGATAGAAAGAAATACCCATTTTCTGAGGAGAAATTCAATCCAGCTGCAGAAATCTGCATAAATAACAAGAAGTCGAATGTTAATCACCAAGACAATGAGGAAAATGTCTCTGGGGCATGCCAGAGGTCTTCATAGCAGCCCCTCCCATCACAGGACTGGAGGCCTAGGAGGAAAATATGGTTTTGTGGGCCAGGCCCAGGGCCTTGCTGCTTTGTGCAATCTCAGAACTTGGTTCTCTGTGTCCCAGCTGTGGGTAAAAGGGGCCAAGGCACAGCTCAGGCTGTTATGGGTACACAGAAGTCAAGAATCTAGGTTGGGGAACCCCTTCCTAGATTTCAGAGGATGTATAGAAATGCCTGGATGTCCAGGCAGAAGTTTGCTGCAGGGGTGGAGTCCTCATGGAGAACCTCTGCTAGGGCAGTGTGGAAGGAAAATGTGGGATCAGAGCCCCCACAGAGTTTCCACTGGGCACTGCCTAGTGGAGCTGTGAGAAGAGGGCCACCATCCTCCAGACCCTAGAATGGTAGATCTACTGACAGCTGGCACCATGTGCCTAGAAAAGCAGTAGACAATGACAGCCCATAAAAGCAGCCAGAAGGGTGACTGTGCCCTGCAAAGCCACAGGGGCAGAGCAGCCCAAGACCATGGGGGCCCACTTCTTGCATTAGCATGACCTAGATGTGAGGTATGGTGTCAAATGAGATCATTTTGGAGTTTTAAGATTTAACAGCCCCACTGGATTTTGGATTTGCATAAGGCCTGTAACCTGTTTGTTTTGGCCAATTTATTCCATTTCAAATGGGTGTATTTATCCAATGCCTGTACCCGCATTGTGTCTAGGAAGTAACTAACTTGCTTTTGATGTTACAGGCTCATAGGCGAAACGGATTTTCCTTGTCTCAGATGAGACTTTGGATTTGGACTTTTGGGTTAATGCTGAAATGAATTAAGACTTTGTGAGGCTGTTGGGAAGGCATGATTGGTTTTAAAATGTAAAAGGGACATGATTTGGGAGGGGCCAGGGGTGGAATGATATGGTTAGGCTCTTTGTCCCTACCCAACTCTCATCTTGAATTGTAATCCCCATAATCCCCACATGTCAAGGGAGAGACCAGGTGGAAGTAACTGAATTATGGGAGTGGTTTCCACCATGCTGTTCTCATGATAGTGAGTGAGTTCTCACAATATGATGGTTTTATAAGGGGCTCTTCCCCCTTTGCTTGGAAATTCTCCTTCCTGCCACCTTGTGAAGAAGGTGCCTTACTTCCCCTTTGCCTTACCCTATGATTGTAAGTTTTCTGAGGCCTCCTCAGCTATGCTTAACTCTGAGTCAATTAAACCTCTTTCCCTTATAAATTACCCAGTCTTGGGTATCTCCATATAGCAGTGTGAAAATAAACTAATACACTCAGAATGAGTTTCCATCCTCCGGTAAGCACCCAAGGAAATCTGTTGGAGAAGTTCTAACTTCCCTTAGAACTTCTTTAACCCCCACCCTGGATTGATAAGGATATCATGAGCACCCAGATAATGAAATAGTCACCTGGGTCTGATTTACTGATTTGTTCAATCAGCACCACTACCCTATTGGGATACCCTGGGATAAGCTCTACTGGAAACAACTGCTTGGGAAAGTTTTGGCAAATGTCAGGGAAAGTGACCTTAGACCTACAGTGTAAGGAGGGATAAATAAAACCTATTAAAATGCAAACACTAGAACCATGTGGATCTGGCTATTATATCAGGAAGTCCCCAAGGAGATTAGTGGTTTCCCCTCAGAAGATATTATCCCTCATTATCAAACCTTTAAAGGGACACAAACTTTGAAGATCTGGAGAGTAGCAGAGGAAATCCCCCACTATCTTTACCTTTAGTGTGACCAACAGGAGGCAAGGAAGGAGGATCTCAGCACCCTTGCTGAGGTTTGTGCTGTTTGGACTTGTGTTGATTCAACACCTTGGATACCACTTCTCTGTCCTTATTTTGCCCTCTTCAAGAACAAACAGACAAGAGTAGAGACTAAAGTTGCCTAAAGGGGACTGGAGACCTTATTTACTTGTAAAGGTGTACAGAGGATTTTACAGAAACCAGGTTTGCCAAACCTTTTCAGCCCTGTGGTGCTGGAAAGCACCTAAGAGTGGGGCCAAAAAAAATTTTAACCGGATTTGCAAAAATTCTCAAATTAGACAATAAACTAATCGACTTGTGAGTAGGTCCTTTTGGAGCAGTGCACAACAGTATTGATAATGCAGAAGACATTGTGGAGTTAGATGTGTTGAGTGTGTAATCCACTCTTGATTCTAAGGAATGTCCTCAAAGGGGAGATACCCTGATTAGAACAGTGGTAGTAGGAAGATTACATAACTGGAGCACATTAGCCTTACTTTGCCTAATCACGTAACTACTATGAAACAATATAAGATACTGGAGGGGCAACGGTAGGAAGAAATCATAACATTGTTCAAGGTGATAGTAGAGGCAGAGTTACTTCATGTTATCCCATTGTGATAGCATTATGTGGCCAGTGAAGAAGTCCCACAGTACTTGACACGTCTCTGTGGACTATTTCCAGGTCAATGTTGCAGTAGCTCCCTTTGCCCTTGCAGTTCCAGATAACAGAATCTATTGCATAGAATGAAGGTGCTTGGTACATAGGGGTGGGCATTACTAATGCTTCTCAAGCACTCCATTGCATCCAGATGATCAAAATCAATTTGTATTTTCATGTCTGTGTCACAATATATTTTTACTTTACTGTCTAAAGGCTGTCTAAACTTCCCCATGATTCGTCTCTAGCAATTAAGCAGAGACCTGGAAAAGTCTAAGATCCTACCATAGGTGACATGGTACCATTATATTGATGAATTGTTCTTATTGGAGGGGCGAAAAACAGAGTACAGGCTGACATAGGAGAAAATGTCTCAATATCTGAGTAGCCAGGACCATAATTAACCCTGCGAAGTTACATGGGCTAGTCACCTGTATTAGTCCATTTTTGTGCTCCTGATAAAGACATACCGAAGACTAGGCAATTTACAAAAGAAAGATCTTTAATGGACTTACAGTTACACGTGGCTGGGGAGGCCTCACAAACATTGTGGAAAACAAGGAGGAGCAAATTACATCTTACATGGATGGTGGCAGGAAAAAAAAGAGCATGTGCAGGGAAACTCCCATTTTTAAAACCATCAGATCTCATAAGCCTCATTCACTATCTCGAAAGCAGTGCAGAACAGACCTGCCCCCATATAAATCACCTCCCACCAGGTTCCTCCCACAACACGTGGGAATTGTGGGAGTTACAGTACAAAATGAGATTTGAGTGGGGACAGAGCCAAGCCATATCATTCTCCCCTGCCCCCTCCCAAATCTCATGTCCTCACATTTTAAAACCAATCATGCTTTTCCAACAGTCCCTGAAAGTCTTAAATCATTTCAGCATTAACTCAAAAGTCCACAGTCCAACATATCATCTGAGACAAGGCAAGTCCCTTCCACCTATGAGCCTGTAAAATCAAAAGCAAGGGCCGGGCATGGTGGCTCATGACTGTAATCCCAACACTTTGGGAGGTCAAGATGGGCAGATCACCTGAGATCGGGAGTTCGAGACCAGCCTGACCAACATGGAGAAACCCCATGTCTACTAAAAATACATAATTATCCAGGCATGGTGGTGCATGCCTGTAATCCCAGCTACTCAGGAGGGTGAGGCAGGAGAATCGCTTGAACCCGGGAGGCGGAGATTGTGGTGAGCTGAAATTGTGCCATTGCACTCCAGCCTAAGAGCAAAATTCTTTGTAAAAAAAAAAAAAATCAAAAGCAAGTTAGTTACTTCCTAGATACAATGGGGGTACAGACATTGGGTAAATACAGCTTTTCCAAATGAGAGAAATTGGCCAAAACAAAGGGGCTACAGGTCCTATGGAGGTCCAAAATCCAGCAGGACAGTCAAATCTTGAAGCTCCAGAATGATCTTTTTTGACTCCATGTCTCACATCCACGTCACGCTGCTGCAAGAGGTGAGTTCCCATGGCCTTGGGCAGCTCTGCCCCTGTGGCTTTGCAGGGTACAGCCTCCCTCCTGGCTGCATTTACAGGTTGGTGTTGAGTGTCTGCGACTTTTCCAGGTGGACAGTGCAAGCTGTCAGTTGATCAACCATTCTAGGGTCTGGAGGATGATGTACCTCTTCTCACAGCTCCCTAGGGGGTACCCCAATAGGGACTCTGTGTGGGGGCTCCAACTCCACATTTCCTTTCTGCACTGCCCTAACAGAGGTTCTCCATGAGGGATCCACCCCTGCAGCAAACTTCTGCCTGAGTATCCAGGCATTTTCATACATCCTCTGAATTCTAGGTGGCAGTTCCCAAACCTCAATTCTTGAATTCTGTGAACCCACAGACTCAACACCACATGGAAGCTGCCAAGGCTTGGGGCTTCCACCCTCTGAAGCAACAGCTCAAGCTGTACTTTGGCTCCTTTTAGTCACAGCTGGAGCTGCTGAGATGCAGGGCACCAAGTCCCTAGACTGCACATAGCAGAGGGACCCTGGACCTGGCCCTCAAAATGCTTTTTCCTCCTAAACCTCTGGGCCTGTGATGGGAAAGCCTGCCGCAAAAGTTTCCAACATGCCCTGCAGACATTTTCCTCATTGTCTTGGTGATTAACATTTGGCTCCTCATTACTTATGCAAATTTCTGCAGCCAGCTTGAATTTCTCCTCAGAAAATACGATTTTTTTTTCTTCTGTATTGTCAGGTTACAAATTTTCCAAACTTTTATGCTCTGTGTCCCTTTTAAAGCTGAATGCCTTTAACAGCACCTGTCACCTCTTGAATGCTTTGCTGCTTAAAAATTTCTTCTGCCAGATACCCTAAATCATGTCTCCCAAGTTCACAGTTCCATAAATCTCTAGGGTGGGGGCAAAATGCCACCAGTCTCTTTTCTAAAACAAAACAAAAGTCGCTTTTACTCCAGTTCTTAACAAGTTTCTTATCTTCATCTGAGACCACCTCAGCCTGGATTTCATTGTTCATATCATTCTTAGCATTTTGGACAAAGCCATTCAACAAGTCTCTAGGGAGTTGCAAACTTTCCCACATTTTCCTGTCTTTTTCTGAGCTCTCCAAACTGTTCCAATCTCTGCCTGTTACCCAGTTCCTATGTCACTTCCACATTTCAGGGTATTTTTTTCAGCAGCACCCCATTCTGCGAGTACCAATTTACTGTATTAGTTTGTTTTTAGGCTGCTGATAAAGACATACCAAAGACAGAGCAATTTACAAAAGAAAGAAGTTTAATGGACTTACATTTCCACATGGCTGGGGAGGCCTCACAATCATGACAGAAGGCAAGTAGGAGCAAGTCACATCTTACGTGGATGGCAACAGACCAAAAAAAAAAAGGAGCTTTTTGCAGGGAAACTCCCATTTTTAAAACCATCAGATCTCATGACTGATTCACTATCATGAGCATAATTCAGTGACCTCTCACCTGGTTCCACCCATGACACATGGTAATTGTGAGAGTTACAATTCAAGATGAGATTTGAGTGGGAACACAGCCAAACCATATCATCACCCAAGCAAAAATCTGAACACTATGTAAAATAATGTCCCAAGGATAAACTATGAATCTACTAAAGAAGAATTGGTAGCCTTAAAAATTCCAGACTGGCCATGGTGGCTCATGCCTGTAATCCCAGAACTTTGGGAGGCCAAAGCAGGTGGATCATGAGGTTAGGGGTTCAAGACCAGCCTGGCCAAGATGGTGAAACCCCATTTCTACTAAAAATACAAAAAAAAAAAAAATTAGCTGGGTGTGGTGGCAGGTGCCTGTAATCTCAGCTAATCAGGAGGTTGAGGCAGACAATTGCTTGAACCCAGGAGGCAGAGGTTGCAGTGAGCCGAGATTGTGCCACTGCATTCCAGCATGGGCGACAGAAGCAAGACTTTGTCTAAAAAAAAAAAAAAAAAAAAAAAATCTGGCAAACAAAAAGAAGGCAAGCATCTGATTGGCCTGATTAGGTATTGTAGTTAGTTCATATGTTGTATGAGGATTCTACGTAGAGGTTTATATAAGAACACTGAAAAGGCAGCAACTTTTCAGTGAATCTGTGGGAAAAAAAAAAGCCATAGAATCCACTCACTAAGGTGTACAGACTAATAATTTTTTGAGCTGCAAACACCAGTGACTGATAATAATTTAAACTGGAGCCAATGGTAAAAAGATATCACAACTAAAGCAATGATATCCCCCGGGGTTTTTGGACACGCTGCTTTGGACATAGGCCTTACTTCCCTCCCTGGTAATACCTCATTTGGTGGCTATTACTATTTTGTTATTGGTTGTTGATGGATACCGTGAGACTAACTACAACGGCAACAGCATATTCATCCCCTATATCCCAAGCTGGGATGAGTAAAAATGAAAGCATTAACAAAATGAGTACTGACCAAGAGGCATCTGTTATCAAAGAAAATGATATACCCTCGGAAAGAAGTAAACTGATGATTAAGGGAGTTTTGCAGCTACACAAGAAAGTAGTTAGTTACTCCCTAGATGTGAATATCTCAAATTTGGGTTCTGTACTGTACCTAGGGCTCTTGAGGGGATCTAGAATACCAACATTCCTGGACATTTGCCCTGAGGCTGCATCAGTGCCAAAGTCTCTTTAGTCATGCGGACCAGGCCTATCTGTTGTTCAATGAGCCAATTTTGAAAGTGGAACTGCAGTTGTTTTTAAATCTCCTCCCTGACAGCAAATTCTCTGAGAACTTCAGAAACTATTACGTAGGACTAGGGGGCCAGGCTTACCTGGGGAAGATTGAGAGCTGAAGGACTAAGGGCTTCCTGAGATCTGTGGACCACAGAAGTAAGTAACACATTTTTCAGTTGTTTCTGCCATAATTGATGGGTTAGGAAGGGGAGTTCAGATTCCAGTTATTTTTTATTTTTTTTTATTTTTTTGATATGGAGTCTTGCTCTGTCGCCCAGGCTGGAGTGCAGTGGCACAATCTCGGCTCACTGCAACCTCTGCCTCCCGGGTTCAAGCAATTCTTTGCCTCAGCCTCCTGAGTAGCTGCGATTACAGGTGCTCGCCACCATGCTCAGCTAATTTTTGTATTTTTAGTAGGATGGGGTTTCACCATCTTGGCCAGGCTGGTCTTAAACTCCTGACCTCGTAATCCACCCACCTTGGCCTCCCAAAGTGCTGGGATTACAGGCATGAGCCACCGCTTCTGGCCAAGATTTCAATTATTTTGGAGAGATTGTCACTTTCTGGGCCCAGATAACTAGGCAGCGAGCATGCATGCCCTGGCTTAGATCTCCAGGCTTGCATCATGAAACCTTGGGCTTGTTTCCTTTATATACTGTTTATTGCCTTTGTCTACTACCTGAAAGATGCCCTCTGCCTCTCTCATGCAATCTACTGAGACAGCAAAGATTCTATCTTTTACTAGAATAATTTTCCATGCTTTATGTTGATTTTATCATGTTCTTGATTATTTAAGAAAACAAAGTTTTCTCGCTTAGGAAAGAACCAAGATTATTTACAATCATGTTATCTTATATATTTACTTTTAAATATTTATTCTCATTTTATATAGAAAAACTAAGAATTGTTTTTCAGGCAACCATGACCATAATCCTATCTTATCTGTTCAAATATCATGACAATTTTTGAATTTTGCTTTAACATCAGATTTTAAATATAAAAATAAATTTAAAATGTTAGGACATCTTTAACGTATAAAAATATGTTTGATATTTGACAAAGGGCTCCTGGAAAATTACAGAGTTTTGTTTCTTCACCTTATAAAAAAGTATTAGAAGGAAGAGGACAGAGTCTGACATGTTTTCATCAAACACAGCTGGAGGAAGCACCAAGTTTACCTTGCCCAAGAGGGCAACATCATGTTGAACAATATCCATGCAGATATTATCAAAGATACATCCCATGTGCTCTTCCACAGAGAGGCCACCAATGTGGTCTGTAGCCACAAGCACTGAGCAGTCACAAGAAGGTGATACTTGGGTTTGCTGTGTATATATTAGAGAAAAATATGTGAGCATCATGCTTAGGAATACTGGGGTCTTCCCATTCCTTCATATCAAATGGTTAATCTTTCCTTTTTCATCTTTTTTTTTTTCCTGTGTTCCTATGCAGTCTACCACCAAGTCAACCTGTTCCCCACTCCCTGTCCCATTTTAAACTAGGAATTGTGTGGTTGCACAGGTTATCTGCTCCCAGTGCCTTGCAATGAAGTCATCAAGTCAGCAACCTCACAGAGACTCTCCATGCGGAGGGCCTTTCCTTCCATGAGGCTCCAAGCCAATGGGGAGCTGGCATTTCCAAGTTCATGTTTGTTCCAGATAGATTAATACCAGAGACTTTGACAATTCTTAAGCTGCATCTCTGCTGTTTCTATGCTACCCCACCATCCCGTTGCTTACTACAGCAATATTTCCCAAACATATACCACCCACTGCAACCCAACATCTACCCAGTTCTGTGTCTTCTGGACACTGGTTAATTTTTCAAAAATGCAGCAGTCTCTGCAAGCTGAGTTATCCCGTGGAAAGTATGGAAAGCTGGCATTGGTCAGAGCTTAATTTTCATGTCTCTGTATGTGAAATGATTTCATATGCTTTGCCTGGAGCATGGCCTGAAATCTATTTGAACATATTTTAGGAAAAAATAGCTGTGCTTCTGCTGAAAACTGTATTTTGTCTATAGCGCACCTTTCAGAGTTTTCAGAATTTGATTCTATGGCATCTATTTTAAAACACTGTAAAAGTTGTAGATAATTGACAGCAATGCAAAGTAATTACTGTCAATAAATACTGACAGAAAAAATTATCCTTGAACTCAAAAGACCTTTTTTCTATTGTACATAGGTAGGACCACAGAAGAAAAGGTTGAAGAACCAAAGATTAACCAGTTGGTATGAAGAAATGGGAAGTTCCCAGCATCCCTAATCATGATGCTAGCACCTTTTCCCCTGATACATACACAGCAAACCCAGGTCTCATCTTCTAATAATTTCTCAGGGCTTATGGCTTTAGAGCACATTGGTGGCCTTTCTGTGGAAGAACACATGAGATTTATCTTTGATAGTATCTGATAATATCTGCATGGATATTACTCAACCTGGCATTGCCCTCTAGGGCAAGGTGAAGTTGGTGTTTCCTCCAGCTGTGCTTGATGACAACATGTAATTCTCCTTTTAAATTCTACTCGTATCTCACTATGAGTATGTTGAAAGCTTTAACATAGATATTATACCTATATTAGAATCATACTTTTACCCTCCCTTTTTTGATAACTGCTTGTAACAATGTGAAGATATTTCTTGCACAGGCTGCTAAATAATGTATCCTTCTCAACCTCCAAGCTTTTCTGTCATTTTCCTCAGCCCTCCCTTTTCCTAGGCTTCCTATTTGATATGGTTAGGCTTTGTGTCCCCACCCAAATCTCATATTGAATTGTAAACCCCAGGTGTTGAGGGAGGAACCTGGTGGTAGGTGATTGAATCATAGGGGCGGTTTTCCCCATGCTGTTCTGGTGGTAGTGAGTGAGTTCTCATGAGATCTGATGGTTTTATAAGTATCTGGCATTTCACTTGCTTGCTCTTCTCTCTCTTATCCCCATGTGAAATAGGTCCTTTTCCCCTTTACCTTCTGCTATGATTTTATGTTCCTGAGGCCACCCTAGCCATGTGGGACTGTGAGTCAATTAAATCCCTTTCCTTTATAAGTTACCCAGTATCAGGTATTTCTTTATAGTAGTGTGTGAACGAACTAATGTGCTATTGTTTGGTGGGGAGAGCAGATACACAAACAATAATTTGACTTACTATATTCAGCACCCAGGATCCCAAATGTCCTGCTGTCAACAGCTAAAAATCTCCAAACACAAGCTGTTAGCGCCCTCTCTGGGGATAAGATAGGGAAGGCAAGTAAGAGAGTGGCATATCTCCTTTCAGGTAGAGCAGTACAAAATTCCTGCTCATGTGCACACACAGCAATTCCCTGCCCAGGAATACTCTATAGCTTAGGTATAAGAAGAGAAAGAGATGGACTTCTTTGCATCTTCATTAAGACTAAGCTAAGAGTTTGGGGTGGCAGTGCTCACTTCCCAACTCTTTTTTGTTTTGTTTTGTTTCGTTTTTTGTTTTTGTTTTGAAACAGATTCTCCCTCTGTCACCAGGCTGGAGTGCAGTGGCGTGACCTTGGCTCACTGCAACCTCTGCCTCCTGGATTCAAGCGATTCTCCTGCCTCAGCTTCCTAAGTAGCTGGGACTACAGGTGTGCACCACCGCGCCCAGCTAATTTTTGGGTGAAAACCCAACAGAGTTTCACCATGTTGGCCAGGATGGTCTCCATCTCTTGACCCTGTGATCCACCCACCTTGGCCTCCCAAAATGCTGGGATTACAGGCATAAGCCACTGAGCCCATCCCCCAACTCTTTACTGGGGAAAAAACGAAGGGTCATAGTGCAAATTGCAGCTATTTCCAGCAAAAGAATCAGAGATAGAGATTTCCCCCAACTTCAGAGCTCAGGGCTTAGCCAACCCTCAGACTTCCAATTTTCCCGTGTGTGATAGAGGAAGCTACTAGTCTCTTATCTGCCTGTAAAGACTGTCAGAGAATGGCATCTCTTCTTAGGGCAGTTTATTCACATCTACCCCACAGTAGCAGAGTTCACAGACTTCAGGACAGTGGGGGCAGGCATAAATGCTTGAGCCAGAACCTGAAATTGGGCCTGCAGTACACTTTTTAAAAGTAGATTTCAAAAGACCCTGAAGGATTTTATAGTATTTTTTTCTAGTGTACATATTTTTTCCTTATGACAATATTATGAAAATACTATGTGTTTTAAAAACAGGATATCTGGCCAGGTGTAGTGGCTCACATTTCAGTAATCCCAGCACTTTGGGAGGTTGAGGCAGGAGGATTGCTTGAGCCCAGGAGTTCAAGAGTAGCCTGGGTAACACAGAGAGACCCTGATCCCACAAGAAAAAAAATAATAAAAGCCAGGCGAGGTAGCGTGTGCCTGTAGTCCCAACTGCTTGTGTGGCTGAGGCAGGAGCATCACCTGAACCCAGGAGGTAAAGGCTACAGTAAGCCGAGATTGCACCACTGCATTTCAGCCTGGGAAACAAAGTGAGACTGTCTCATAAATAAATAAATAAATAAATAAAATAAATGGCAATAGGATATCTGAGGAGGTGCAAATAAAATAAGCCAAGGATGGTAGTGGTGTCAACACCACTGCCATCCTCCATCCATGAACAAGGTCTTCTTTAGAAGCTGAAGCAGTCACTCCATAAGAGCTGAGTTTAACTCCTTGGTTCCTTTTAGCCCAAATACTCTAATTTAGCTACTGAAATACACTGAAGTTTGGCAGAAGGCATGGCAGAGAAGGATGACATCACACTCGTATTAGAAGAAACAAATATATTTGGAAAAGAAAAATGAACTTTTTAAAAGTCATTTAAGAATGATTCTAATAGAGGTATAATATCCATGTTAAAACTTTCAACATACTCATAGTGAGGTATGAGTGGAATTTAAAAGGAGAATTACATGTTGTCATCAAGCACATGTGAAAACACAGTAAAAACAGATACCACTATTTACAGAATTTCCCAATGTAACATCTTTTATTTTTATGACTGAATTTTTTTTTGAAATATATTTTCACTTTTAAAAGAGATGGAGGAGGACTTTCAGGCAGGTTAGAAGTGACAAAGAGCAAAAGGCACAGCCAGGGCAATGGCACACGCCATCTGATCAACCTGGCATCCTGGACACTGCATGGTCCTGCCTGGGACACAGGCTAACTGGGAGGCATGGAATGAGGATGCCTAGGACACAATTGTTTTTGTTTGCTTGTTTGTTTTTAACAGACTTTATTTTCTATAGTATTTTTACATTTATAGAAAAATTGTAAAGACAGCAGAAGATATTACATAGTTCCTATATACCCTGAACACAGTTTCCCCTCTTATTAGAAGCTTACAAGGCTGGGAGCGGTGGCTCACTCCTGTAATCCCAGCACTTTGGAAGGCCATGGCGGGCGGAACATGAGGTCAGGAGACCGTGACCATCCTGCCTAACACGGTGAAATCCCGTCTCTACTAAAAATAAAAAAAAAATTAGCCGGGCATGGTGGCGGGCGCCTCTAGTCCCAGCTACTGAGGGGGCTGAGGCAGGAAAATGGTGTGAACCCAGGAGGCAGAGGTTGCAGTGAGCCGAGATCGCAACACTGCACTCCAGCCTCGGTGACAGAGCGAGACTCCGTCTCCAAAAAAAAAAAAAAAAAAAAAAAAAGAAGCAAAGAAGCTTACATTAGAATAGTATATTTGACAATTAAAGAACCAACATTTTAAAATTATTCTATATAATTAATTTAAATACGCAATTAGCTTTTACCTATTGTCCTCGTTTTATTCCGGGATCTCACCCAGTATACCCCATTACAGTTGTCAAAATGTCTTCATAGGCTCCTTTGGATGTGACAGTTTGACTCCCCTAGTTTTTGATGATCTTGACAGTTTTGGGGAGTATTGGTCAAGTATTTTGTAGAATGTCCCTCAGCTGGTGTTTGTCTGATGTTTTCTTATGATTAGACTTGAGTTATGAGCTGTTGTCACAAAATCCATAGTGGTAAAGTGCCATTTCCATCACATTATATCAACCTTTCATACTGTCAACATGACTTATCGCTGTTGATATTGACCTCAGTCAGCAGGCTCAAGTAAGGCTTGTCAGGTTTCTCCACTGTAAAGTTACTTTTTTCTTCCCTGCTTTTCATACTTCCCATTCCTTCTTTGAAAGGAAGACACTGTTCAGCCCACACCTTATGAGTGGGCAGTAAGGCACCACCTCCTTGAGAGAGGAATATCTGCAAAAATTACCTGAAATTCTTCTACGTTGGAGAGTTGTTTCTTCTTTCATTTATTGATTTATGTATCCAATCACTTATTTATATCAGCATAGACTCATACACAATAACTCTATGGTTCTAATATAATTCTACTTTTGTTATTCAAATTGGTATAGTATTGGCCATAGGAGCTCTTTTGATTGCCTTCTGCTTCCCTTGACATACCCTCATTCCTGTGGGTAGTGGTTTTTGATTTTTATTTGTTTTGAGTACTTTTTACTTTCTGGAACTACAAGATGACTCATTTTTTATATTTTCTGCCCCAGCCATTTCTCTAAATGGCTCCTTTTATAAGACAATGGTATTAGAAATCAAGGTCTAGGAGCTAGATGTGTTCATTCCTGCAGGACTGTTTTTATTTATATGCCCTCTCAGCTGACAGAGCAAGGACATATGTGTGCAGAAGAACATATATATATGCACATATTTTTAAATGTTTCCATATCTAAACGTCTGTATTTATATTAAGCTAAATATGAGTTTACACACAGTCTTCAACTCCAGTCTATTATCACATGAATTATTCTGGTATCCTGCCATTGTTTGTAAAATCCCATTCCAATGATGAGAAAACTGACTCCATCATCTACCATTTGTTTTCTTAATTGTTCAAGTCCAGTATAGAGTCACACATTGCATAACAATGTTTCAGCCAACAATACGCTGTATATACAATGTAGATCCCGTAAGATTAGAATGCCATATTTTTATTGCACCTTTTCTATGTTTAGATGTGTTTAAATACACAAGTACTTACCATTATGTTACAGTTGTCCACAGAATTCAATACAGTAACATGCTATTCAGGTTTGTAGCCTAGGGGCAATAGGCTATAACATATAGCCTAGGTGCGTGTAGGCTATACTATCTAGGCTGGCGTAAGCACTCTATGATGTTTACATAATGATGAAATTGACTAATGAAGCAGTTCTCAACATGTATCTCTGTTGTTAAGCAACAAATGACTATATATATGAAACATCAGAATTTTTAACTTGTATCTCCATGGGAAATAACTTTATCAACCAAAGTATAGTGCTATGTACAGTTTCTTTCGCTTCGGTTTTAAAGGGTCCATAGGTTTCCAGTTACTTAGGTCAGCACCTTTTTATCATTCTTTCAATGAGGTTGTTTTAGATATTTGTAATAGAGTTAGCCTTTTTTGTCACATACTATGTCTCATGCTGGAATACCCCAATCTCCTAAATGGTAGATATTTGAATTTACATACTTTAAGACTCTCTCTTTGCACTGTACATTTCTGATTTTGGGCAATTATATAGTGTCATGTATTAATAATTACAATATCATATAAAATAGTTTCAATACCTTAAAAACTCCCCCGTGTTTACCTATTCATCCCTCTCTTCTTCCATCCCCCAATTTTCCAGAAACCACTTCAATAATTTTGCCTTTTCCAAAATGTTATTGAAGAGAAATCACAGTGTAGAGCCATTTCACACTAACTCCTTTTACTTAGCAATATGCATATAAAAATTTTTTGTATGGCAAAAGTATTTTTAAAATTTTCAAATTTTAAATTCCAACTGCTAATTGCTGGTATGTAGGAAATTGGTTAACTTTTTTATATTAAACTGGTATCTGAATCTTACTATATTTGCTTAATTTCAGGAGATTTTTGGTTGACTTTTTCTGATTTTCTAAATACATTAACAATCATGTTATCTGTGAAAAAAGACAATTTTACTCCTTTCTTTTTAACATATATATGTTTATTTCCTTTTCTTTGTTATATTGCATTAGCTAGTCCTTCTAATAAGATGTTGTGTCTGAGTGATTAAACTGGGCATATCTTTTTACTGATATAATTTCTCACCATTAAATATGATATTTGCCGTAGGGTTTTTGTGCATGTTCTTTAAGTTTAGAAAGTCTTCTATATTTCTAGTCTGCTGAAAGTTTTTATTATGACTAGGTGTTGGATTTTGTAAAATGCTCTTTCTGTATCTAACAATATGATCATATGGTTTATCTTCTTTAGCTTGTTGATGTGATGGTTACATTAGATTTTCAAATACTGAATTAGCTTTGCATATCTGAAATAAATCCCATTTGCTCATGGTGTACAATTTTCTTTGCCAACTCTTTTCCTGTAGAGCAAATACACATTTTGATTGCTTCAAACAAGTCTGCTCTGCCCCCTCATGGCACACCCTGTTCAGCAAAGCTGAAGCCCTGTAGTTAAACAGTCACCCCCTTAAACAGACAGTTCAGTGACAATCCATTATTAGTTGAGCAAAACCCTTCAGGGCCTTTCCTCTCACTACAAGCATTTTAGCAAATTCTTTGTCCCCTAAAAGCAGATTGCTCTATGAAAGAGATACGAGAAGGGGATTCTAGTGCCAAGAGGAAAAGAGTCTATATTTCAGATTTTACATAAATGTGACAATGTATTCAAGGAAACAGTAATATTTGAATAGTCTAGAAGTACTTTAATTCTTTAAAACTCCAAAGTGTATTTTTAGCTAAATTGATTTCCCTTGACCACAGGTTTAAATTAGGCTGTTGCGGTGTGCTTAGTATATGGACTTAGCTTGGCAGAATGAGAAAAAAAAAAAAAAGCCAAAGTTTTAAAAATATACCTTTTTGACACAACTGTTATAATACTAATTCAAGATAACCATTCATTTTTCTGTATTTTTCCACATTAATAGAAACTATGGTGAAAATAGAACAATTAATTTTTTTCTATTTCCTGTTTTTTAAGTCAACGGTTCTAGAGGAAACACCATTTCTCATTTTCATTCAGCTTTTAATCTGAAAATATATCGTGTTTGTCAATAACTCAATGCACCTGTTATTGAAATAAATGAACTAGCATCTTCTTCAATTGAGGGCAAAGAAGAAAACAAATGGGAACTAGCATTTTTTGAACAGGAACTGGGCTTAATGCGATATATAAATATAAATGCATATGTGTTTCAAAACAGAACAGTGAGATAAGAAATAATAGAAAAGGCAATGAAGGATCATTTAGATTAAGTAGTTTTCCCAAAGCCATGAAACTGGAGAGTGGTAGAGATTCAAGTTCAAATCAAGGTACAGATAACCCTCATAAATTAGTATAGCTGAAACCACATGTCTCCAGCGCTACTTTTTGGAAGTAATTTCATAATATCTAGAATTTTTTTCTGATCTACATGATTCCCCTCATTAAATTCAGGTCTTCAGAACATGCTTGAATCCTGCAGGTTTAGCCTTTATTTCTCTGCTTTGCACAAGGAAGAAGGCAGCCCAGTAATTACAGGCATGTTTAGTTAGCTATGTGATCTGTAAAGTACCTCTTTGTGTTGACTGTCTTCCCTGCATGAAGTCCATGCCTTAGACCCAGTGCATGCTGTGGGATCAGGTCCATGACTGACATTGATCTTGACTTTCAATATCTTCAGAATCCCCAGATCGGTTTGGTTGGAATAGGCCTGAACTCTGCTCAGATAGTGACATTGATATATTTTGTTTCAGGGGAGCTTACTGACTTTTTCATTTTTTTCCTGGGGCTAATTCACCCTAGTTAATGATGTGTTCTTTATCTGACTTTACTTTTCTGAGGAGCCCAATCCTTTTAGGAAAGGAACTGAGGACATTTTGCTCAACAGAATGAATATCTGTTTGACTTCCTGTCCCTGGCCAAGTTGCTTGTCTTTCCTCTGGTGTGTAAAGTTCCCCAACCTTGGATCCCTTTCTATAATATATCCTTCCCGAATAGATTGTCTCTCAAGGCCTTTTTCTTTTTGGAGGGTCTCAATTAATGCACTGTCTTTTTTTTTTTGGACATGAAAGCAAAAGGATGCTTGTTCCCGCTGACCCAGTGTGCACCCCCTGTCCTCCAGCTCTCTAGTTCAGTCTCATTGTGCCTGGTTTTGTCTTTGATGTGGGGCATGAGGGGTTGGTTCCTGGAAATTCATGTTTGATATCAAAGTGGGACCATCTCAAGTCTTTCTTGTCTTCCTCATCTATAGGGGAAAGTTCAAATAAAACATTGTCAAGAGTAGATAAGAACTTTTTTTGTGGCCAGGCGCAGTGGCTCACACTTGTAATCCCAGCACGTTGGGAGGCCGAGGTAGGCAGATCACAAGGTCAGGAGTTCGAGACCAGCCTGACCAACATGGTGAAACCCCATCTCTACTAAAAATACAAACATTATCTGGGCATGGTGGCATGCCTATAATCCCAGCTACTCAGGAGGCTGAGGCAGGAGAATCGCTTGAACCCGGGAGGTGGAGGTTGCAGTGAGCCGAGACTGTGCCACTACACTCCAGCCTGGGTGACAGAGCAAGACTCCATCTCAAAAAAAAAAAAAAGCAATTTTTTTTTGTAATCACCTGTTCTCCATGAAATGCTTGACATTTTCCTATTAGAAGCTGAGAAACCATGGCTATGGAGTCTGCCCCTAAACCAAGCATGTCCAGTATGCCCTTCCCCAAGAAATAGACCAGGTTTGGGCTTTTCTCATCCGATACAGTTTTCTGGATTCAAGGACCTTGAGAGTTAGGCCTCACCTCTGCCAACCACAAAATTATATCAAGTAGGCTTCTAGCACCTGTTGAGTCCTGAGATCAAGGAATGAAAGCTCCAAGAGGTATTGAGATGATGTTATTGACCCAATAAAATAGCATATTTTTGATTCCACATGTATATGAGACTTCTTATGAAGGGAGAAGATAGAGAGGGCTGCTATCCATGAAGAATGTATACCCTCATTGACATGCTCTGTCTTTCTGACCAAGGTTATGTTCTGGATGTTTTCTGGATGATTTCTTCTGGTTCTCCCTTAAATCATGAAAATAAGTCATTCACTGAGTGAGTCACTAAGTCACTTTTTACCTCCTTCTCAGCATTAGCTCCCTGACTCTTTATTAAGTATATTTCCAAGAGCCTTGAGAGGTTATACTTTGGACTTCTTAGGATATATGCCAGGTCCTTAAGTCATTCTTTAGGCAGGTGTTTCTGGGCCTTCTCCCCTAGAAGCTTCTTGGATGCATCAACCCAGTCCTTCGAATCTTACTGCTTTGGCCTTAAACACAGAGGGCCATGAGAGGCCACGTTTCCTTTTTGATTTAGAGATCTCTGGTTATTTGCTATAAGGCTGCATGAATGCCAGATTTTCTGCAATTGTGCAGGCCAGGCCTATTTTGAATGTGATGCTAGGATTGTTCCCATATATTCTTGCTGACAGCAAAATTTTAAGGAATGCTAGACCCCATCACATAGAACAGAGAGGCCAGGCCATCCTGGGGAAGGCTGTGAGCTGGAAGACTAAGGCTTCCTGAGATCTCTGGACCTCTTAGGGTAAACTCCTGAACCTTTCCAGTTGCTTCCACCATGAGCATCATTTTTCTTTTCCAATAGTAATCATCATAAGAGACGTGCTTCTTTCTGGATTCTAGCAAGCAATACTCCACAGACTCTAACATGTTGGAGAGGATGTTAGTAGAATTGGGAGATAGGTTTGAAGTGGGCCTGTGGCTATAACAGAGACAAATGTCTGGGCTGTAACTGAGATGAAGAGGAGGCCACAGCTGGAGAAGCAGTGGGGATTCTTGATACATGTTAGGCCCAGGGTTGGGCCTGAATATTACTCTGAATAAGACAAAGGTAGCCGTGAGAGGAAAACAGCTACCAGAGACCAACACAGTGGCCACCAGCGACTTGCTTTGTCTGAAGAGGAATTTTTAGAAGAACAGAATCCATTTCTGTTGCAAATTTTCTCTAGAGCTTTTCAGATTTGGTAGACAGTAGGAACTATGCAGCTACTCTGATTACCCCGCAGTAGTTCAGGAGTGTTGGGGTAGGTGTATTTCTGCACCTCAAGTTATGCTAAGATATTAAGAGTATTCAGTTTATAGCTCGGTCTCAATTGTTTTAGAAATTAGACCTTTTGTTTTCCTCCAACCCTATCTGGAAGTTCACCTTCTTCAGGACTCAAATCTTTAGGTTATCATGGATATTGTGTCTACACAGTGAGAGGCTTCCATCTTCTATATTGCTGGTTGCAGAATTTTCACAGAGTCAAGTCTTGATATATGGAAAGATGGCCTTGTAAAGAACACAGTGCAGGAATGTTGAAAAGGACAAGTCTTTTGCACATATCTGCCACAAGAATGCTGAAATGGGCAGTTGTGAGTAGTCTGTGGTTGATAATATCAGAATAGCTGAGGCCAACAAATCTAGACATTCTGGAGATAAGCTCTTTAAGACATTGTTCAATAGAACAAGAATCATATAAGTTTGGGTCAGACTTCATATGGTATACAGTAGTTGTGGTAGGCATAGTAATGAACCCCAAAGATGTCCATTTCTTAATTCCTGGAACCAGTGAATATGTTATCTTCCACGGAAAAAGAACTAAAGGTATAAGATGGCATTAGGTTTGCTAATCAACTGACCTTAAAATATAGAGATCAACCTCAATTATTTAGTTGGGACCAATATAGTCACAGGGCTCTTAAATGGGGAAGATGGAGGCAGAAGAGTCAGGATTAGAAATATGTGATTTTAGAAAGACTCAAATGTCCATTGCTGGCTTTGAAGATGGAAAGGGACAACAAACCAAGAATGCAGGAAGCTTCTAGAAGCTGGGAAGGGCAAGAAAGCAAACTGTCCCTTAGGACCTCCAAAAATGAGGTTGCCCTGCTGATACATAAATTGTAGCCTATTGAGAACCATTTCATCTTTCTGTAAGTTACCAAATCTGTGTCATTTTATGCCATTATGTTTGTGGTAATTTGTTACAGCAGCCATAGAAACACAGTATTAGTGAAAGAGAGAGGGTTGGTGGTGGAGGAAGACAGGCAAGTGAATCAGCTGAATTCTTGGGGTGGTTGAGACTATGATAAATTAATATCCTTAGAGAATGTGGGATCAGCTGAGGACTTTCTATCTTGCTTCTGTGTGAAACAAGAAGGCAACAAAAGTGGAACCAAACTGTCACTCTTCTCTCCCTACGCAAGCTACAGAGCTTTATTACCTATGAATTATATGACTTTCTACATTGGGTTCATGGACTCTGTGTTTCTTTTCTGTTATTTATTTGTAAAGGTAGTAAACACACTTTATATTGCACCTTCTTTGTAAAACTCAAATAAAGAAGTGCTTTATGCACATGGTTCTCTATTGAGATTCCAGTCAGAAGCCCTCTGCTGAGGACAGCTGCAGAATCAATGACCTACATAGGTGTGTGTGTGCTCTGTCAGGTAGGATTCTTGCTCCCTGAGGTCAGAATTCAATATTTAGCATCTGATCGGAGGCTTTCAGACACTCAGTCTTTATCTCCACGTCATCACAAAGACAGAGGCCAGGTCCAGAGGTGCCTCATGTAGAAAACAGAGTGCTGAACAATTGTATGATTCTGCTTCCCCACAAGTATGCTGCACTCTCTTAACAATCCACTCCACAGACACTGTATCACGGTGTTTCAACCTCATCTTGGAATTTTTTACAACACCAAGATAGAATTGCCCGTGAGCTTTAGATAGAAGATTCGGTAATCACTTTAATCACTGTCTTGTCCAGCCTGTTCTCCTAGTAGAAAATATTTCCTATTTATGCTGAGATGTTCCATCTCACATGTCTGTTGATTTAGTAGAACTGGAAGAAAAACATGAAAATAAAAACAAGAACAATAAAATACAGCCAACCTTCATTGGTGGGCAAATCCAGAATTTTTTAAAAATCTTATTTCTGTCTGCTTTTTCTAAAAATTGATTCATCTGGAGGGAGTACATAAAACAGAAAAGAGTCTCACACTCCACAAAAAGAAAAAAGAAACAGGAAATGTCCTAGGAGGTTGAGTTTGAACTCATCCATGGGTACTACAGCTGTTCAAGAAATGAAAGTTTTCTCTATTTTATACAGCACACTGCTATCTCAGGCCACTGGGCCCTGAGCATGTGCTCTATGGCCTACAGAGCTATGAGGGCCTTTAGTGTAAAGAGGGTGAAGAGGGGAGAAAAAGAAGGTGCATCCCCAATCCCATCCACACCATTCAACCAAGCAGATCCAGCCACTTATCCTGGGCTACCATATTTCTCCATCCTTCTCTTGGCCTTGCTAATTTCCAACCCTAACCATTTAGAAATGTCATGTATACTTCAGTACATTTTTTATATTTTTGTCAAATAAAACCAGATATTAACTTGGTCTAACTTTACTCCTTTGAGTTCTCAGCTTTGAAATGACCAATTTCACAACCTTGAAAGCCTGGAGTTTTCCCAGAAATGTTTGCTTATTCTCTGATCATTATACTTTTAGGATCTTCCCTATTTTTAACTCCAGCTCCACAATATAAACGGGTCCTGCCTTTGATCAACCCTGACATAGAACTAAGAAACTTTTCAAGTTTACCTAGAACAATCTGCTTAAACCAAAAAGCATGAGTGAGCAATATAGCCTCTATTAATATCTTGCAAGAGTGTAAAATTATTGAGAAAAATGTTAGCACACCCTATGGCAAATAATTTGATCACCTCTCTTAATCATTTGTCATCTTTGTCTCTTGTAGGCTACTATGCCTCTGAGGTCTATCGTGTCTCTTCTTGAAGGTAAACTTCCCAACCTGCTGGTCCTTCACTTTCAGGTCTCCTAACATTTTAATTTTTCCCCTGTTCTCACACTGAGCAATTCAATTTTCACATATAGAATTGGCATCACATCCCTATGCCAAGCTGCATACCTAAACCCATCTTGATGTAGAGAGTGGGTGAGAACCTCTCCTTAGCAAAATTCAGTCTCTAATGGGAGCACATGAAGTTACATAGAGCAGGATGTATGGTAGTGTTGAATCACATCAAAGTTTATTCCTCTGTGAATGGTTTCACTATTTTTCTCTTCTATTCTCTAAATTTTTAGTTTAACTCAAACCACTATTGGTGGTTTTAAAAATATCTAATATTTTAAAACATAATTAATGAGGAGATTTACTTGATGGTATATATTGATATAGATGTAGGCAGGTAGGTGTGTAAGCATATTCCCATGAGTATTTCTCCCTGTGTGATGTATGCCTATGACAGTTATAATATGGACAGCTTCATCGCTGAGATTAGAAATTGCTGAAGTCAAGCACTACATGATTTACTTGCTTTGATTTCTTCAATTCTCTTCTGATTCTAAAGGAACAGTCTTCGCCCAGAAAATCAAACCTTTCTCATTCATATTACAGAGATTTAGCAGACTTGGCAGCTTTTTTCTTTTCCTAGCTTCTTCTGTAACAACAACTTCTCCTTTGTCAGGTAACCCCTAAAAACCTGGAATTTAAGTCATGCCCCCTTCCGTTATTTACTCTGCCTTCAATGCAGAGAGTCCTTCTGTGTGGAAAATTCTCTCTGAACATCCTGGCATGTCTGGTATTGCCGTATCTTTAATGTCATTTGTGATTCTGGCCTTGGCTGGCTCTAAAGGCCTCAGCACTTCTATATGTAAAAATACTCTTTACAGTTTGAACAAAGGTATGCTTCAAACACACACTATGAAGGTGATATAAGGGCCTATAAAAGTAGTCCTTCAACTTTATTCTTCAAAAATGTCAATATCGTAAAAGGCAAAGAAAGCCTGGGGAACCTTTACAAATTAAAGGAGTCTAGAGGCATATGGTAGCTAAATATATTATGTGACCATAGACTAGAATCTATGACTATGGACTATAATTCATAGCCAATAAAATATGTAGTAGAAGAAATTCAATGCTGTAAAGGATACTCCAGGATGAATTGAAATGTGACTGGCAGATTTGATAAAATTCTGTACAAATATTCAATATAAAAAACTTGATAATTGTACTATGGGTACAAGTCTGTATTTTAGAAAACATCCTCTAAAATATTTAATGGTGAAGGGCGATGATGTACTCAACTTACTCTCAAATGTTCAGGAAAATCTATAACATGTATATTATATAAAGAGAGCAGAGAACAAAAATATTATAATTAGGTAAATCTGGGTAAAGGTATAGAGGACAATCCTAACTATTCTTGTAACTTTCTGTAAGTTTGAAATAACTTATAATTTTAAAAATTTATATATTTGATTTTGCCTCTATTTTGAGATTCTTTTAGTTTATCACGAAGTCTCCAGTGCCGACAATTCCCAGAACTGTGCTATTCCAACTTTAAATCAGTTGTATCAGATCCTGTCCCAGGAAAAAATTGTATATATTTATGAAAACTGAGGTTTTAACATTTCAACTAGGTTATTCAAAAATACTAAAAAAAAGCAAAAATCAATACATACAACTTACAAGAATACAAAATAAATAGAAACGTAAAAAGAATCATGTTTCTAGCCTATAGGGTTCAAATCCAAAGATTCTAAGTGTAGATTTGGTGTCCAACACAACTAAGTCCAAATCTTTGTTTTGATATTTACAAGCCTTGCGACTTGAACATTTTAGTTCTTTAATATTTGGTTTCCTTATCTGTAATGCAATGATAAAAGTCCCTAGTATATGAAAAAATATATATGCAGGCAGATGATGAAGAGTTATGATAAAAAGAAAATAAGGAGGAAAAACCAGCATTATCAGAAAAGAAAACATAATATCCAGCCATCATGGTTAAAGCAACGTGGTACCAATACAGCACTAAACCAAAAAATAAATAGAAACAGAATAGAGTCCCCAAATTCATCCCGATAACCAGACAATTTTATCTTTGATACAGGAAGCCACTTACATAATTAGGAAAGAGATTGATTCAACACATTCTATTGAGATAAATGAATAGCTGAGGAGAAATGAATTTTCAGAATGATGGAAAACTAGTTGCTGAGATGCTGACCAGAAGCACCAGGGTACTGACCTGACCTTTCCCCCATAGGGAACTGGATGCTTCTATCATTTCCATACATTTGTCTGAATGAATGGCAAAAACAGCAAGTATAAAATACGAAATAACTCAGTTTCCATATCCAGGAGATGAGGTCATCATTCAAGACTGAACATCAAGTGAATAACCAGTGAGAAGCTTTTTGTCTCCTTATGAACCGAGTGGCCACCTCTTTTGAAAATATTGTTTTTGTGTTTCTGTTTATGTGCTGTTTCTTCTCCTTAATCTGTAGGCCACTCAAGAACCTGTAGAAGACATGAAAATATCAGTCAACTCAAAGATTTAAATGTGGACAAGGAATGCCATAAAAAAGCCAACAGGGAATATTTTACTATATTTCCTTTCCCTCCCTCCCTCCCTCCCTCTCTCCCTCCCTCCGTTCCTTCCTTCCTTCCTTCCTTCTCTCCCTCCCTTTTTCTTTTCTTTTAATCTTTTGAAGATACAGGGTTTCTCTCTGTCACCCAGGTTGCAGTCAGTTGGCATGATCACAGCTCACTTTAGCCTCAATCTCCTGGGTTTAAGCAATCCTCCCACATCATCCTGAGTAGCTGGAACCACAGATGCCCACCACCACACTTGGCTAAGAGTTTTGTTTTTTAAGTAGTAGACACAGGGTCTTGCTTTGTTGCCCAGGCTGATCTGAAACTCCTGGCTTCAAGTGATCCTACTGCTTTGCCCTCCCAAAATGTTGGAATTATGGATGTTGAGCCATTGACCCTAGGCTTCTTTTTCCTTAATAACATCAGAATGGGAAAGTCTGTCCAAGTATTTTCCCAAAGCTATTATTGAAGTGACTGATAAATGCAGGAAAAAACACACCCATTTCTCCCATCTCTGACCCCTGGCCACCCAGTCCCTCTACTCAAAGACCACCAACTGTCCTGATGTTTGAATACAATTTGAAGTTGTCTATGCATGTAGAATAACAGAGGGACATGGAGCACTTAACATTTAACACAAATGTTAACAGACTACAAATTGTTCTTCTTCTTACTTTTAAAAAAAAAGATATTCAAAGTTCTGGATCAACAAAATAAAATTACCTAGTTCTTTATATATCATAGTTTTCCGTTGTATTACTCTGCATAACTTACTTAACCAGGAATGATTGATGTGTATTTTTCTTCTTTTCAGTGTTTTGCTATCACTAACATGCTTTGATGACATTCTTCAATTCATATCAGTGAGTATATATTTTGAGTAAATCTTTAGAAACTTTATAAACATTCTAGTTTTTAAAATTACTGAAAAATTTATCTTAAGGACATTGAAATCATGTATCCTCCACACCAATCAAAGGTGAGTGTTCCTGCTTCCCCAATACCCCGAGGAAGCTGTAGATTTACTGAACGACTTTTTTATCTTTACCAATCAGGCAGTTGAAATGGCAGTATGTGGCTTTAAATGGTATTTTAAAAAATATTTTAAGTCAGATTGAACATTTTTTCAAAAATTTTAAAATTACTTTCCTTTTAACTATGTTTGGTTGTTACTCATATTTATTCTACCTGAATTTTAATATTTTTTGTCTTAGAACAGCCATTTGTATATTAATAATATAAGCCATTTGTCTGTAGTATTAGATAGAAAATACTTTTTCCTAACCTAATTTCTTTACCATCTTCAGTCATATTTATTGGGTTTATGGGTGTGTGCACATATGTGCACATGCTCGTAAGCATAAGTGTATTTATCGCTCCCCTTAAAAGTTTTTTTTTTTTTTTGAGGTGCTGCTTCTTTTTTTTTTCTTAAATTTGAGACAAAGTCTCACTCTGTTGCCCTGGTTGGAGTGCAGTGATGCAGTCTTGGCTGGCTGCAACCTCCGCCTCCCGGGTTGAAGCGATTCTTCTGTCTCAGCCTCCCTAGTAGCTGAGATTACAGTCATGTGCCTCCATGCTCTGCTAATTTTGTATTTTTGCTAGAGATGGGGTTTCACCATATTGGCCAGGCTGGTTTCAAACTCCTGACCTCAAGTGATCCATCCACCTCAGCCTCCCAAAGTGCTGGGATTACAGGTGTGAGATACCATGCCTGGCTAAGGTGCTACTTCTTAAATTGTTTAATTAATGACAAATCAGAAAATCAGACCGTTCAAAACAATTCTCTTTGCTTTGCTTTGCTTTTACTTTTTAGCTGCAGGGTTTTGCTCTGTTGCTCAGGCTGGAGTGCACTGGTGCCATAATAGCTAACCATAGCCTTGAACTCAAGGGCTCAAACACCCTTCTCAGCCTTTCAAATAGCTAAGACTACAGGTGAGTGTCACCTCACCCAGCTAATTTAATTAATTAATTAATTAATTTTTTATATTGGCAGGATCTCCCCATGTTTATTAGGATGGTCTCAAACTCCTGGCCTCAAACGATTCTACCGACTTGGCCTCCCGAAGGGCTGGGGTTAAAGGCATGAGCCACCATCTTTAGTCTAGAACAGTTTTCAAGTTCACATGGAACAAAACTTCAGTTTTCTTTGTTTTTTTTGGTAAATAAAAGGATAACCAAAGCAAAACTATATTCTATTTTATTTATTTATTTATTTTGGAGACAGGGTCTCCCTTGCCGCTCAGGCTGGAATGCAGCAGAGCGATCATAGCTCACTGTAGACTTGAAGTCCTGGGCTTGAGCAATCCTTCTGCCTCAGCCTCCCAAGTAGCTAGGACAACAGGCGTGCACCACCACCCCAGGGTAATTTTAAATTTTTTTGTAGAGATAGGGTCTCACCATGTTGCTTACTCTAGTTTTGAACTTTTGACCTTAAGCAATCCTCTCTACTCAGCCTCCCAAAGTGCTGGGAATACAGACATGAGTCACAGTGCCCAGCCTATATTCTCTTTCATACTGAACATACTGTACTGATGTTTTGTTAAGATTTGTTTTTCATTAGGAAAATGCTTAGATTCTATCAATGCTGTTAACTTCTGAATCATGTTTCCATTCAAGGAAGGAAAGATTAATTGGAGTTTTATATTCTATAATTTCCACCATTTGTATTAGAAAAATGTACAAAGAACAAATGTAACTTAATCAGAAATATTCAAAACTGTCTACTTATTTTAATATTTTATTTAATATTTTAATTAGCTCACTTTGTAAAAATATTGGCTACTTCAGACACAAAATATTCTTGTAGGGATGTAATTAAATTTTAGTGCTGCTCATTTTTATTCATTAGCAAAGAGGACTTCATTTGAATTTTTATTGGTGAGTTAACTGAGTTAGTCTATGGCATATCCAGCAGCCAGACCGACATCATCATTTAAACATGCCTGTATATATGTTTATTTACAGTGCAGGTTCTGTTACTTGAAGTATATTCAAACATATAATTATTGTTTGAAGAAAGTGTTAAGGACACTGATTTATTTAGTAACCAGCTCTATACCGAAAGCTTTGCAAATGCTCTCTCCTTCTGTACCTCTCTCTGACACTCTCTCCTCTTTTATCTTTTGCTTTATCTGTATATTCTCTTTTTTGTGGGAGGAATTACAAGAGAATTAATCAGAATTTACTATTGGAAGAAGGTGAGAAAATACAAATTTAGTTTTTATATTTTATACTATCATGCTATTTACATTTTTCTTCATAAATATATATTCTTTTCATTTATTTCTAGAAAATATGTTAACAGTGGATTTCCCAGCATGGAGATTATCCATCCCCTCCTTGATTTTTATTCTATAGTAGAGAGAACACAGCAACAGAAAATATGCATTCTTGCAAAAATATTTAAAATCCTGGATCCTATGCCATCATGGTCCATATGGGCATTTGCAGACAGGGAGACAAGGTTCAAGGAAAGTGGTTTATTTGGGAGGTGATCCCAGAGGCACTGGCAGAGGAGCAGGGGAGTGAGACAGAGAAGGAAAGTGCATTGTTTCTCCAATTCACTGGATTTTCATCCCCACTAGGATGAAGCTGTAAGTCAGTGTGGCACATGTGCCTCAGAGTCAACCCATAGGAGGGTACACTGGCGAGGGGTGTGGGGCAGGGAGCTGCTCCCAAGGAGTGTTAACTCTCTGGCCCTTCAAACCTGCCAGAGGTTTGGGGAGAGCAGGCTCTGGCAGCCAGAGAGAATCCTCAGGGAGCAGAAAGCCAGTTGTGCGTGACAGTCATAATGCCCTAGTGGGTACAGGCAGGAAGCTTCAAATCAGCCTCGCATTTTCTGACATGTACCCAGAGCAATGAGCACTCCATCATAGCTTCCTGTGGTCTGAGGCTGTCACTGAGTCTTCTCTCTCTACTGCCCTCATCTGGCCACTACTGACCGTTAGGGGCTGCTCAGGACTTACAGACAGATCCTCTGGAAAAGAGTAACTCCTCTGAGGCCAGCTTGCAGGGCAGATGAACCTCACTTCACCTATGTAGCATTCATTTGTGTTTGCCTACACAGAGGAGTCCGGCTTCTAAAAAACCCCTCAGTTGTCACTGGGAGATGCTCCTCCCTCATGCAAACAGTCTCAGTTTATGTGAATCAGGATGAACACATGCAGATTTCAATCAGTACAGTTTAAATAACGGCAGGTAAGTTCTAAGGTCTTTGTTAAGAATACCAGAAAAGGGGTCCACATCTTTGTTCTTGAGCTGAAGTTGGAAAGATTTTGCCTTTGTTGTCTCTGTTTGCCATTGGGTGACCACAGGGACTCTCTGAGTGTGGGTTAGCACAGTAAAAGAGAGCTGAGTTCGAGAGAGAGGTAAGGTCCTGAGCCATCATTTGGGGGTGTCATCTTTATTCCAGGATTGCTTAAATGCCACACCTACCCCTGGGTTTCTTTAACCTCAGTAGATAAATCAGTTTAAGTAATGCATTTTGTTCATTTGTGTAGATGAGTTTCTAAAATGAAGCATTAGGTGATCAGATCATTTCTGAATAAGGGTAATGAGATATGGGAAAGACTGAAAACAGTATCAACACAATAATGACTGTGTTGAGAAACAGCACTCCTGGATTTGCCAAGGAATTAGAGACGGGACAAGTCAAGTCCTCATTTCTGAAAGATCTGGAAAACACAAGAGGGGACCAAGGAATGCAGGGTTTCTGCTTCAGGAAATAAGCCTGTCAGTTACTTACAACACAGGACCCTCAAGAGAAGAAATCCTGCAAAAACTGAGCTACTAAAACCAAGGATGTCAGCAACATAGATCTTCCTTTCTATTGAGCCTCTCTTTCCGGTTTTCTTGTCATCCTTCTCCCCTTTTCTGCTCTCCAGAACATTATTTGTACCAGGCTATGGGGATGGGCAGAATGCACATAGTTCATCAATATTATTCTTGAATTCTGTATTTATGAATTCACCTACTCTCCAAAATTGATATGTAATCCCCAAATTGATACAGCACTTTTACAGTCACTGGAGATGCGAAAAGTCCAGTGAAAAATTTGTTACCAGAAGTTCACATTCCCAAATGAGATTGAACTCTTCCATTTTGTTTCAGCTCTCATTCTGTAAACAAGTTTTCTTTTAGTGGTCAATTTAGTGCCACATTTTTCCCATTTTTGACTTTCTGTTGATGATTTTGTCATTAAAATGGCCCCCAATCAGAGTGCTAAAGTGCTGTGTAGTGTTCCTAAGAGTAAGAAGGCTGTGATGTGTCTTAGGGAGAAAATGTGTGTATGATAAGGGAGAAAATGTGTGTATAGATGGAAGCTATAGTGCTATTGGCCATAAGCTCAGTGTTAATGCATCAATGGTGTATTACATGAGTTTTCTGTAAATAGAAACATGTAAAACAAGGTTATATATTTATCAGTTGAAAATGTGGGCCAAGCATGGTGGCTCACACCTGTAATCCCAGCACTTTGGGAGGCCAAGGCAGGTGAATCACCTGAGGTCAGGAGTTTGAGACCATCCTGGCCAACATGGCCCCATCTCTACGAAACCCCATCTCTACTAAAAATACAAAAATTAGCCAGTCCTGGTGGCACGTGCCTGTAATCCCAGCTACTGGGGAGGCTGAGGCAGGAGAATCACTTGAACCAAGGAGGTGAAGGTTGCAGTGAGCTGAGATTGTGCCATTGCACCCCAGCCTGGGCAACAAGAGTGAAACACTGCCCCCCACCCCCAACTCCCCCCAAAAAAAGAAAAAGAAAATGTTGTGACCAGAGGTTTGTAGAAATTTCACCCTCCATTTCCCCCAGAAGCAATGGTTCAGCCTTTGCTAATTACATTTTTTAGAATGACTTTATATAGCATAACTACCACAAATAATGAGAATCAATGGTGTCTTTGCTCCTTTATTGATTTAACCTAAGTGTCATTGTTCAAAGTGCACTTGTCTGGATTTAGGCCAACCTGCATCCTCACATGCATCTGCTCATATGTTACTCTATGCACCTCAGTTTCCTACAAATATGAATAATGATACCAACCTGATAGATTTGTTTTGGAGATTAATGTTAGTTAACATAAAGTGCTTATTTCAGTGCCTTGCAATATAAAAAATGCTCAATAACATTATTTTCAGGTGATGCCTTTTTAATTCTAGCACACAAGTGTAAGTGCTCATTATGTTTTTGCTTAAACAGATTTCAGGTAGATCAACCTAGAAGTGGTGCCCCAAGGTGGCTGCTGTTCCTCATATCTCTTTCGGTTTCTTAAAGGGAAGCTATTTTTTTAATGGAGAAGTTGGGTTCCCTTCTCCTGCATCCTGACTATTTTATACCTTTATCAGGTTTCTCAACTTCTTCTGACAGATTTAACTTGACACCGCTCCCCTTACCTCCCTGCTCAGAGCTGTGGGCTATCACGACTGTCATCACTTGGCAGCTTAGCTTGCTGTCCTGGACTGTTCTTTAAGGAATAGTTCAATGAGACTGCAGTGAACTTTTCAGTTTTAGAAAAATCATTAAGTTTTCTTACATGGCAAAAGTAATTTTTTTAAATAAAATGTTTAGTAGTCACCTAGCAAATCCTAAACAAAATCAGGGTGGCATAAACACCTGCCTATTTATTTTGTTTGGAAACTGCTTCAGGAAGTTTTCAGTCTCTTAGACTTTAATTTTAAAGAGGACTCTGGCCATATCTCAGGCTGTCTGTGGGTAGAACATTCTCTTTAACCAACAATACTGAGTGTCAAATTATTATGCTTCTCTCATCCTCCCTTAGAGGCAGGGCCTCTAAGATGGGCAAAAACTTGAGGTTTTGTGACCCCTTTGCGTGTTAATGCCTATTTTGCTTTTTATTTGAAGAAGGAGAAAGACAAAAGGGCTTGGATTTTGCATCCCATGTGTTTTCTGAAAACAGCTTGATTGGAAGTGAGGTGAAGTTTGTCCTGGGGGAGAAATCATTTTTTCTTCTCTATGCATTCCTCCTCCATTTCTGTGGCTCCTCTCCTGTATCCCTCCCTGCTGAGAAATTTGGAAGCATCCTTGTCTCAGGTTTCCCTGTAGGTCAGTGTCTTTCCCTGACACTCCTATCACCCCTACTGAAGAGAAGCTGTCTCCTCTGTTCTATGACCTTAGGGTCCTGTTTCCCATCCCCCCATTTTTCATAATCTTTTTGTTCAGCTTTATTGAGATATAACTGAAGACAATAAAAATTGCATGTATTTAAAGTATACAAGGTGATGTCTTGATATATGTATACATTGTGAAATGATTGCCACAATCAAGCTAATTAACATAACCATCACTTTGTATAGATGCCATTTGTGTGTGCCTGTGTGTGTGTGTGTGTGTGTGTGGTGAGAACACTTAAGATCTACTCTCTTAGCAAATTTCAAGTATACAATACATTTTACCAGCTATGGTCACCATGCTGTACGTTAGATCTCTAAAACTTACTCATCCTGTATAACTGATAGTTTCTTTTCTTTGATCACCATTGTTGGATCTCCGCAATCCCCCACCCTACCCTGGCAGCCACTATTTTACTCTTGCTTCTATGAATTTGACTTACCACATACAAATGATATAATGCAGTATTTAATTTTCTGTGCCTGGCTTATTTCATTTAATATAAGGAACTCAAGTTTCGTCCATTTTGGTGAAAGTAACAGGATTTCTTTCTTTCTTGAGGTTGAATAATATTTCATTGTGTGGGTAAGGGTGTGTGTGTGTCTGTGTGTGTGTACATATGCATGTATATACATGTACATGTATATACATATGCATGTATATACATGTACATGTATATACATATGCATGTATATACATGTACACATCGACATTTACATGAATATATATATTTACATATACACACACAAAATATATACATGTGTCTAATGAATATTATCTATGTATCTGTCCATGAACATTTAGGTTGTTTTCATACCTTGGCTACTGTGAAAAATGCTATAATGAACATGGGAGTGCAGGTATCTCTTCCACACACTGATTTCATTTCTTTTGGATATATACTCAGGAGTGGGATTGCTAGTAGTTCATTTTTAATTTTGTGAGGAATTGTTCATAATGACTATACTAATTTACATTCCAACCTACAATGCACAAGGGTTCCCTTTCCTCCACATCCCTAACAACATTGGTTTTCTTTTGACTTTTTGGTAATAGCCACCCTAACTTGTATGTGATGATATCTCACTGTGGTTTCAGTTTGCATTTTTAGGGTCCTGCTCTTTCTGCCTAATGAGTCCACTTAATTCATGCCAGTTTTCATGGTAATGGACATGAACAGGTTTAATATGTTATCCCATCTGTCAACTTTGCATCTCATTAGGGCCTTTAAGGCTAAACTAATGTGATTAACTAAGTGGTAAATTTTAGAACTATTTACAAAATAGTAAAGGAAATGTTTTTGCCCTGTCTGGAGAAGGGTGGTTCCCTCCCCGTCCCATACCAGGTTTCTGTTACACAACAAAATGTGTAGTAACAATGATATGGTTTTGCTGTGTCCCCACTCAAATCTCATCTTGAATTGTAGTTCCCATAATTCTCATGTGTCATGGGAGAGACGTGGTGGGAAGTAATTGAATTATGGGGGTGGGTCTTTCCTGTGCTGTTCTCATGATAGTGAATAAGTTGCATGAGAGCTGATGATTTTAAAAAGGGCAGTTCCCCTACCCACGCTCTCTTGCCTGCCACCATGTAAGATGCTCCTCATTCTCCTTCAGCCGTGATTGTTATGCCTCCCTAACCATGTGGAACTGTGAGTCAATTAAACCTCTTTCTTTTATAAATTACCCAGTCTCAGGTATGAATTTATTAGCAGAGTGAGAACAGAGTAATACAAGCAGAATGAGAAGGCCATCGAGTTCATGATCCCCAGCCTGGAAACTCTGGAGCAGAATGCAACTCCTTCTCTCCAAATTTTATTCAGAAGGGAAAGAAGAATATGATTTGAAAAGGCAGATTCAATAAAATAATTGCTTTGATTTGCTTTTAGAAATAGTATTTATGTATTCAATAATATATATTTTTTATTATTCTAAAAAAGCCGGGGGAGGGGGTGATGGCATGTGTTGAAAAATAAAAATAACAAACAAAGCAAAATAAACAAACAAAAACCCGAAGATAGTCTTGACTAGCCAGGGCAACTGTGAGAAGAATTGCCACTGCACCATAGTCATGGGGGTAAATTTTTTGATTAGGGAGCCCTGCAGCCTCCCAGACCCATCTCTTCTCTCTCACACTAGCAAGCATAAGACCCTCAGAAATAACTAAGAAAGAAAGAACTGAAGAATAAAGGGTCCAAATGCCTTGTGAACAGTGCAATTTAAAACAAGTAGTAGACTCAGCCAGGAAAGCAGAGCTAGATCTCTGGTCAGCCCTTATTAGATCTTCAGATACTGTCTACAACATTTGCAGCTCAAGGAGTCCTTCTATGACTACAACTCTAGGGCAGACCCTGTCTGTTACCATCTCATACCAGCTTTCATTTTCCTTCATAAGACTTCCATTATTTGTATTCAGATATATAATTGTCTGTCTTCCTCAGTTGAGTGTAGGCTCTTTGAAGATAGGAACCAAGTTTTGTAGACCTAGCAAAATGCTGGAAAATACAGTCAGTATTTATTCAATAAATAGATGTTAAATGATGTAATGGAGGCCAGGTCACCAGATTTCTGCCCTCAGTGGTGCTACTTGGAGTAAAGAGAAGATCATTTAGATTATTGGTGGGGTCTTTGCATCATTTGCTACTTAACATGTAAATCAGTGGTTGCCAACTTGGAGCAATGTTGCCCCTTTCCATGGGGAACTTTCTGGAATATCTGAAAAATCTTTGGCTGTCACGATTCAGAGGGTTGGGGAGTCTTATTAAAGATGTGTAAAATGCACAGGATGGCCCCTCACAGCAAAGAATTATCCAGTCCCAAATATCAGGGCCAGTGTTAACAAACCTTGACCTAAAAGTGCTATCTGCTTTTTCTCTTGAGTTCTTGTTCTCCAATTCCATTCATTACTCTCCCTGTAAACTCTCCCAGGTGAGTTTTAATTATGTTATTGAAAAGTACTCAGGGCCATACCTACAGCTCTTAGAATGCATTCATACAAAAAGGTCCAGATTTGAGAATTGGTTTTCTTAAACCCAGATAGAGATAATAAATTGTTCACCTCTTTAAAAAATCTGTCAGGAAGCATGTAAAAGGATGAGACAGTTATGGGGCCAGACCTTTATTTAGAGTCCCAAGCCATTTGAAACTGTCAATGAGGTTAAAAAAAAGTGGAAGCCTAGAAATTACATAAAAAAGGAAGCTTAGCTTCTGCCAATGATTAAGAAATTTATAGCCTCTTTGTAAGCTTGATCTTAACACTGCCAAGCAGTATAAATGTCTCCACCTCACAGATTGGGGTTTATATTAACCAACAGTAAATCTAACATGTCTTCCTCTTAGAAAGAATATCACATATTTTTACAGGCAGTTCTCAAGGAAATTTGAATAACTTCCAACCCATCTCATTAGCTCACATGCAAAGAAATGAAGCTAAATATGAAAGCTTGCGTGTATGGCTTCACTACACTGAGAGTTGCTCAACATCTGACATCATCATGTATACATGTATGCATGCACACATACACACACTGCAATTCACAGTGAATATATATAATAGTCCAAACTGTAGAATGGGGAAAAATCATACCACAGTTGACCCTTGAACAACATGAGTTTAAGCCATGCTGGTCCACTTATATATGGATTTTTTTCAATAAACCTAGAAAAATTTTTGGAGATTGTGACAATTTAAATAAACTTGCAGACAAACTGTGTAGCCTAGAAATATTGAAAAAAATCAGAAAAAGTTAGAGATGTCATGAATATATAAGATATATTTATAAGACACTAGTCTATTTTGTCATTTACTATCATTAAATATACACAAATCTATTATATAAAGTTAAAATTTATCAAACTTATACACACACAAACCATTCATGGCACCATTCTCCATCAAGAAAAAATGTAAACAAACTTAAAAGTGCAATATTAAATCATCACTGTATAAAATTAACTGTAGTACATACTGTACTACTAGAACAATTTCTCCTTTTGTTGCTATTGCATTGAGCTCAGAGTTGTGAGTATACACTTAAAATGCCATGTGATGCTAATCATCTCTGTGTGAGCAACCCTTCTCTCTAGTAAATTGAGCATTTCAGTAAAAGGTGATCTCTCATGGTTCTCGCAATTTTTTTATTGTGTTTAGTACACTATCATAAACCTTGAATAACACCGTGGGACTCATACAAAATGCCACTAGTGATGATGGAAGTGCTCCCAAGAAGCAGAGAAAAGTCATGACATTACACGAACAAGCTGAATTGCTTGCTATGCACCACAGATTGAGGTCTGCAGCTGTGGTTGCCCACCATCTCAGACAGATGATTTATCTTATAAACAGATGACTTAAAGTTATAGTATCAATAAACACAGTACAGTACTATAAATGTATTTTCTCTTCTTTATGGGTTTCTTAATAACAAATTATTTTCTCTAGTTTACTATATTGTAAAATAAACTACATAATACTATAACATACAAAGTATGTTAATCAGTTTATGCTATTGGTAAGGCTTCTAGTCAATAGTAGGCTGTTAGTAGTTAAGTTTTGGGGGGATCTAAAGTTACATGTGGATTTTTTACTGTGTGGAAGGAGGGGGGTTGTCACCCTTAACCCTGGAGTTGTCCAGGGATCAAGTGCACTCATCTGTAAGACTCATCTGTAAGACTCATAGTGAGTATGAGAACTCACAGTTGCATACGCACCATATCATTCCAGCGATTGGCATCACGTGGACAAAGCCTCCTAATGAGAGCAGGCCTTAATTATGCTTCAAGATGAAGCATGTATCACTATTTACCAAGTAGAAGGTTACTATGTACATTCTATGAAAGCTGTTTAGTTACCGGATTTACAATAGTAATTTTAGTAGCTATAGATCAAACAGTAGTATGATTATAACAATGTCTAAGGGAGCCACTGGATGAAACTTTACCTGAAGAAAATGTAGTCACTAACAGCAACTCATCTTATTGAATATTTATTGTGTGTGTCACAAGTTGAGTTCCCAGGAAGCAACAACTCTGAGAAAAAGATTAGTATGCAAGACATCAACTAGGATCAATACTTATGAAAAGAAAGGAGTTTTGATCAGAGGAAGAAGTTGAGCTGTGATGCAGTCTCAGTAGATGCCTCAGCCGACCCCAAGAAGCCTCTCTAGAGCTGGGATGGCCCTTTGGAGTCTTCACAAGTTAGAGCAAGGGAATGAGCCTATGTATCCTGTGATCAGTCACTGATGCAGGTTGTACTTGGAAGAAGGCATGACTTTGGGAGAGGAAGTTGGCCTCCTCTTAGGAGGCAATCTCCTAAGGAGACAAAATAATTGTTAGCGCTCTTCAGCCAGCAGCAGAGGGAATATATCCATCGTTTCTTCTCGAAGATGTTCCTCGGAGAATCTACCATTATGTTCCAGGAACTGGGATGAAAAAAAAGCGTGTGTGTGTGTGTGTGTGTGTGTGTGTGTATGTATATATGTGTGTATATATAAGCATATGTGTGTATATATCTATATTTATATTTCTATAAACCTAACTCAATTATTAGTTATGTAAATAATCATTTGGAATAAAATGTATGTAGAGGATTGAGTCGAATCAAATTAGTGCTTTCAGGGCTTGGATATATATTCTTGTTTATTAAGACAATCCCCGTGTAGTAGTTATTACTAGTATTGCCTTCACTTTCAAAAGTGTCCCAGTTTAGATAATAAAATGAAAAACTACCCTCGATAGGGCCAGCGTTGAGGCTGGCCACTGTCAGTGCACACAAGCTGAATATCAAGTTGGGAAAGCCAAGGCCAGAGGAGGACTCAAGAAGCATAGAAACAAACAGAACAATCTAGGGGGTCTCAAAGTCAGATCTCCAGAGAAGCAACGCCAGCACCATCTGGAAATTTGTTAAAGAATGCAAATTAATGGGCCCCACTGAAGAGCTGTTGAATCCAACAGTTTTTGGGGAAGGGGGTCAGGATTCTGTGGTTTAAGGAATCTTCAGATAATTTCAATACTTTCTCAAGTTTGAGAATCACTGGGATAATTCATAGACTGACTTGGAGAACATGTTTCTAACTAATTTGTTTGTCCTTGGCTATGCTTTTGACTGTAGTCAAGAAGGACTGGTTTCCCAGCAAATGGAGGAGAAATTCCAGGGTGAAATGCAGGTTTTAAGGCTCAAAATTTTCCACAGTACTGTGACTCATCACACCTGAAAAGTCTTCACAGTTTTCTCCTTCTTGTTTGTATTAACTTGGAGAGTCAGCTGTGCCACCTGAAAATCCTATTTTCTGATATGGGTTCTGTCAGAGGCCTGCTGTGTGATGATACTTGTTATTAATCTCAGTCTTCTATATTCTTCTCTCTCTTTCTCTCTCTCTCTTTCCCTTCCCCTCCCCCATCTCTCCACTAATTTATTCTAAACCATATTTAAGGTGGAACTTATATGACTTTATCCAAGATACCAAACATCTGTATGTCTCTATTTATATGTACAATGGAGGGATTAAACCTATTTTAGCTATCCCAAAGATTTTTCATGAAGATTAAATAAAATAGCATATGAAGAGTTATTTATAAACTGTGCAGTCCTGTGCAATCATAAGATGAGAATGTAATAGTATAATTATTACTAGTTTTTTTAGCTTCCAGGAAACACAGTTTTTGCTTGATTAATTTATGTGTCATTTTTATAAAGCAACCTTATTAAAATAATAGCTTCTGTGAATGTTTGGGGTCAGGGAAGAGAAAGGAGAGTGAGAACAGTATAGTGCTTCAGAAAGGCATTTCTTTTCATGTTTGATAAATATAGTTTTCCCTCTGTCTGTGAGAAGGGGAGGTAAAACTTTAACAAATATTTAACCTGAAAAGATGTCTTCTGATTTTTGTTTCCCTGTGGAATTGAAGAAGAAAACCAGTCTGGACAGGCAAGGATAGACCAATAAAGGACTGAAAAACAATTTCATCATGTTTTTGGAATTGCATGAGTGTTAGTGAAACCATCCAAGAAAATGAAACTGATCTCTGTGGACTCCTAAATCGATCTCAGTACTCACCAGCGCATCCACTGAGGCTTACATAGCAGCTTCACAGCATTAACTGAGTGCAAATACAACAGATTCTGGCCCAGTGATGGAATAGGTAAGGGACAGTTCATTACTGCTGGAAGCCAGAACTATAATCCCAACTTTCCCCCCATATTGAGCCATCTGTGAAGATTTTACAAATATGTCAACTAGGGCACCGTGGCTGATGCCTACAATCCCAGCATTTTATAGGCTGATGCCGGGGAATCACTTAAGACTAGGAATTTGAGAGCAGACTGGGCAACATAGTGAGACCCAGTCTCTACCAAAAATAAAAAGAAATAAAACAACTTTTTTTTAATGTCAGCACATTCTTTGAAACTCCTTTCTTGAACAGGGCTAGACTTATTGTTTTATTTCTAACAAAATGGGATTAATGATGTGTGACTGAGACAGGGCATAGAAATGTTGAGACATCAGTGTGCTCTCTCTCTCTCTCAATACTGTCTCTGGGTGAAGTAGCTGCCATGTGGGAAGCAGGCCTGTGGAAAGGCACATGTGGCAGGGAACTGAAGCTTCTGGTCAACAACTGGTCTAACCTTGAGATGACTGCAGCCCCTGCCCAGTTTTGACGGCAACCATGAACCAGAACATCCATGTAAGCTGCTGGATTTCTGACTCTCCAAAACTGTGTGAGATTTTTAAGTTTGTTGCTTTAAGCTATTAAGTTTTGTGGAAATGTGTTATATGGAAACAGAAAGCTAGCACAAGGTATCTTGTCACAACGAATGATTATTTATGTTAAAGTCCGTTGTCTTCAACTGAGCCCTAGAAGACCAGAGGGGTATTACATGAAGGCAATAGAGATGGACACTTGTTTGTACCCAGTTTAAAGTTTTGTGTCTATCCAAAGTGTGGCTATTTGGCTATTTGAATCTTTAAAGCTAGCTTTTTTACTAACTGAGACCTGAAAAAAAAAAAAAGAAGATTCTTCTAAGTCACGTGTCACAGCCAAAACTTGGGCCTGAAGTTCATGGTTGCATTGCTTCAGCCAAGGTTTTATTTTTCTCTTTATATCCTATTATATGGGGGGCATGGTGCTGGGCACTCAGGATCAGGCTGTGAACAAAAGAGCTTCTCTCAGCCATTCTATGTAGGCCATGATGTCTGATTTTCTACTTACTCACTGAATTCTTAGAAATTCTAAAATTATTTGACATAGAATCTGTATCACATGCCACCACCATTTTCTCTAACCCTACCTTCTAAGAAAATAGTCTGCAAGAGAGGAGAGAGGCCATATTTGTGTTAGCTAGAGAAAATGAAAGTCAGATGATAATGGAAAATGCAAGATTGGATTCATGTAAAATGTCTTTTTACTGAATAGAGATGAAATAACTTTTACTTGCTTATTTTGTTACAAAAGCAATGTATATTCATCTTAAAAACATAAATTCAAAATAAAATGTCACATGTAATCACACCGAAAATGGTAATAATTACAAGCTTTATTCTTATTAGTCTCTCTCTCTTTCTGTATCTTCCTCCCTCTCTCACTGTGTATTTCTGTATAGTATATGACACACACATTGAGAAGAAGAGGAAGATACAGACAGGCAGATAAATAGGTGAGAGTTATTAATTATACACACACACCTATTTATTTTAGATAAAATATTCTGGTGAATCTTTGTATTCATATAATGCTTTATATTTTCAATTGCTCAATAAACAGATGAACTATTAAACCTTTAGAGACAGTGACCACATCTTATAAGTTTAAATGTTTACCACAGTAACCAACATGTAGCATGGATCTAATAAATGCTGAGAGCATTCTTTCTATTTTATATGGAGTAAAATAATTCAAAGAGAAAGAAAAAGGTTTATTCAAGTCATGCAGTTGGTTCTCAATAGGTTTGGAATTGAAATCCGCTGTAATCCTAGTATGGCTTCCTCTTCTCTAAGAAGGCACATCACTCTTGTCTAAGAAGGCACCTCACCGTCCTCTGAGAAGGCAAACTGCCATCTAGGAAAATGGGTTGGTGAAGAGAATGACCACTCTGAAGATCAGGGTGTAGTTACCTTTGAGCTCAGCTTTCTCTTGCAGTATTGAAAACCACCCGATTGTTTTACCCACAGACGGTCAAAGACTAAGTCCAGTCATATGTTAAAGGTGGTGGGAGAGAGACCACACCAGTGGAGTCTGCAAAATGTGTGGCTTCTGGAAACTGTGGTGGTTTTCTTTACCAAGGTGTTGTCTGCAGATGGTATACAGCAGAAAAACTTTGACTCTTTAATGTTTCCTTGACAAAAAAGCAATTTCAGATATCATCTCAGTCATTCATCCACACCAGGCAGAAATTCTGTCAGAACTTGTCACTTTTATTTGAGCAAGGCCCTGACATCGAGCAGCTTTATTCTAATCATGCTCACATTTGATTTGACAGTTTCAGAATATTTTGTGTGTCCATTGTACATGCTCAGATAGATAATTTATCACCAAGCATTTCTCTTTTGGCAACTCTGATAGATTCTCACCTTCTTTTAGCCCAATTTCTGGGAAGCAAAAAAGCCTATATTAGAAATATCACAGTTTTTTAGTTCTCTGGAGATAGTGTGAGAAAACATATTACAGAAACAAACACAATTTATTATTAGGAGGGAGAAAAGTCAATGAAAAATATCATAAAAGGATGAAGAGCCCACAGAGAATTGAATCCTGGACTTTTAAATTTTCTCTTTAAATCTTATTTTCCCAAATAAATAGATTATATTAACTCAGCTGGTTTTCTTGTAGTTTACACAAACATCCTAACATGTAAATTTAAAATTATATTAATAATGATCTGCAAACTGAACCTTTTAAACACATCAAGTGTATCTTAAAAAGACTAAAATTTATAGAACATTATTGAATAATCTGTTTTAATTGGTGATGCACAAAAACATTGCAATAATAATACCATAACTATTTTTTTATTTCTTTAACACGTATTATGGCTCAAACATTCTACTTGCTTTATATACGTTATTTCATATAATACTTTCATCCACTATGTGAGGCATTGTTATCTCTATTTTGCAGCAAAGGAGAATGAACTTCAGAGCAGTCAAGCTTCTCATTTAAAGTTATTGTAAAGAAAGTTCATCTCAGAAAGATGGCCAACTATGAATTTTCAATGTAGATAATTAGGTAACTCTACAGCTATTTTTGGAGGTGGAGAGGCACAAATGTGTGTCTGCTTATGGCCTGGAAGACTGACCAGGACAAATGATACAACTGGACTTTAACCAGAAGCCTCCTCACAAGTTCCAACCAGCAACACACTTCAATAGATAAGGAAAGCTACAAATGGGCAGTGCCTCAGCTATGGCAACACCCACTTTGCACAGGTTGTTGAAATTAGAGTCCTCTGGCTTTTACATATATCTCTGGAATTTCTGGAGAGATTAAGTGTATTCAGTCATATACCTGTCTAAAAAAATATGAGGAAGAGGTCATTTATTCTCACAAAATATCCATGTCCTCCTCTCTGTTCATATTCTCCTTTGCAGTTGATTAGCATTGTGTAATGTGTTCTGGTCAATGACTCTGCGAAGTGGTTTGTTTCACTTCCAGGCTAAGGCAGTCAGAGAAAAAAGACATTAGTGAACAAATAGACAAAATTCTAATAAGACCTGTAGTTTAGTTAGTCATTTTTTTACCAGTGTAATTTATTGGTTTTAATAATTGTACTATAGGAGATGTTACCATTAAGGGAAGCTGTACAGAACCCTCTGTACTATTTTAATAGGGAACCCTCTGTACTATTTTTGTAACTTTGTTGTAAGTCTGAAATTGGTTCAAAATGAAAAGGTTAAAAACAAGTAGTGTGTTTTCTCTGTCTTTTTCTTCTCCTGTTTGTAAGCTCCTGAAATTACAAGATGGAGAAAAATCCCACTGCCCATGTGAGAATTTAAGTGAAGAATAAATAGCACTTTTATGATGCTAAGTCTCTGAGATTTGGGAGTTTGCTGTGGCAACAAATGATAATTAGATACTAGAGATGATACTATTGGTTCCTTACCCCAGTACCCTTCCTAAAAGGACCACAATTGTGTTCAGGTTTCCATTCCCAATGTCTATGTGACTGATGGGTTCCATCATGTATATGTGATCCAATCCTTAAGCATGAGGAAAGACTCATGCAGAACTTCTGGGAATAAAGTTGCTGTCTTCTCTTCCTTTTCCTCTTTCTCTGGGAATAAAGGTGGTTCTCAACTGATGGCAATTTTGACCCGTCTTCCCACCAAAGGCCATTTATCACTGTCTAGAGACATTTTGAGCTTCATAACCAGGGGATAATTTGGAAAGGGGCTAACGAATTCTACTGAATAGACATCAGGGATGCTGCTACGTATACTACCACGTACAGGACAGGCCCCATGACAAAGAATTATGCAGAATATTGATAGTTCTCAGGTTGAGAAACCTTGCTCTTAATGTTGATGCATCAGGATAGGAAATACAGATCTTCTGCTTCCTATGACGAACAGTTCAAGAATAAAACCAAGATTAAGAATGGCAGAGAGATAAGATAGAGGTCTTGGTTCTTGAAGGCAAAACCAGGTAGTTGAATGAACCAGGCTAGAAATCTGTTCTACCTTTAGCTATCCTGATGTTTGCAGTAATCAATTTCCTTATTGTTTAAACCTGTGTTTAAACAATAGCGTTTTTCATATTTGCAGCAGAATGTGTCTTAATAAAATAATATAATCAGGTAAATCAGTATTTATTTAACTAAATATGTATGTCTCATGACTTTTATCACAGACCTCAATTTATAACTCTTATAGTTGGTGATATAATCACAAAACTAGTAGATAGAAAGGCTGAAACCCAATGTTTACTTACTCTATAGCCTTCACAAATAACCATCACACTTAATTTTATTTCAAATTTAAAATGCAGCATTCATGATAGTATTAGAATAATAGCAGTAATTAGTATTGATGGTATTGGCAGCAGCAACATCAGTATTTACTGTTTCAGACACTGCCAAGCACGACCCAAAAATTCTATTTTTAAATTCTAGCTTTAATCTTTTGAGGAAATGTAACTTTTAACAAGCGAGAAATTGCTTCTTAATTGTTCATGGTATAGAAACATTCTCAGTGGACCTACTTGGTTCTCTAAAAAAGATCACCACCAGATTTGGCTGGCACTAATATTCTTGGAGTTCATATAAACAATGCAATTATAGCATTGTACCTCTTTTTTGATTTCTGGAACTTGCTGGTTTGGATAAGACTCATCTTTCTCATTTGTGAAATGAGGGAGTTAGATAATGTGTACAGTTCCCTTCAGAACTGGGTTATGTAAGAGTAATATTATACTGACCCATAAGTAATGATTGCTTTTCCTCTGTGTGTTCATGAGTATAAATGAGACCTAGACTGATGGGCACAATCCCTTCCATATTAGGTGTTTACAACTACAAACCTAGACAGTGGCAGTCAGTCAAGATTTCATATGCGAGTTCGCAAAAATAATGACACAGAATAATAATACATACTCTGCCATGTTAGAATGGACCCAAGGAAGCTGAAGTTCTATGAAGACTTTGATGATTTCCTGAGTCATACTGAAGTGAAAATCAAAAACGTTGATAAAATCAGTTTCTTGGCCGGGCATGGTGACTCACGCCTGTAATCTCAGCACTTTGGGAGGCCGAGGCAGGTGGATCATTGAGGTTAGGAGTTTGAGACTAATGTGGCTAACATGGTGAAACTTCGTCTCTAATAAAAATGCAAAAATTAGCTTGGTGTGGTGGCATGAGGCTGTAATCCCAGATACTTGAGAGGCTGATGCACAAGAATCATTTGAACCTGGGGTCGGAGTCTGCAGTGGGCTGAAATTGCACCACTGCACTCCAGCCTGGGCAACAGAGCAAGCCTCTGTCTCAAAAAAAAAAAAAAAAAAAGTTTCTTGACTAAGAATTATATCTTATATCTTGCTTCATAGTCCTACATTCAGCAACATGTGACTCCTCTGAATTTATGGGGCCTGGGAGTAAGGACTCAGGAAGAGATAGGAAGGGAATTCTGAACATCCACAGCCTGAGATAACATATATGTGAACACCATTTTCTGTGGTCTATTTATTCTTATTTTTAGGCCTTTTGACCTTAGGATTAACCCTTACCTATTGAGCAGAGTGTCGTGGAACAAACCTTGTAGATTGTGCTCTGCCAAATGTATAGAATTCCTTGTGGAATGAAGAGTCTTAGGCCATTTTTTATGTTGATTGTTGACAGCCGTTAAGCCCCACCATTCCACTTCCTTTCTGTGCAATGCCTGAGAAAGCTCACAAGAAAGGCTGGGTATTTTCTTCTTTGACAACATCAGAATGTTCAAGCCATGGAATCTCTAGACTGTGCATTGGAAAACACGACCCAACCTAAGCAACTAACCACCATTAAAACCAAGCATTTCCCTACTCTTTCAAGCCATTTCTGGACCAGCTGGAGAGCTAACCCCTGCTCCCTCCTAGAATGTCTTATTATGCAGGTAATAGCCATTTTCATGCCCTCTTGGTGTATGTGTAGGTAGAATTATCAGTCTCAACATCCAAATCAAATTTTAGGTGAGGGATTCATCCCATCTCTATGGGGTAACCAAAACATCATCTATGTTTTCTCTTATAAAATAGGGGTAATAACTTCATCTTTGAAAGTTTGTTAAGAAGGTAAACAGTAATTTAGAAGAAGCTAATGCATTTGTTGAAAGTTACATTTCTTACTGCAAAGGGACATAGGCATATTCAAGATCCCTGGGCTTCTAGATAATACTCTCCTAAAAATAAATTATAAGTAAATTTAAAAAGGACATTGAATATTTAGAAAAAGATTGGCAGGAGGAGATGAACAGCACATAGTAGGAGTCAACAGTTAGAGACTATTTTTATTTCATTTAAAACCATAGAATAGAAGAGTAGTAAGAATAATAGGCAAGTTTCCAAATTATGTCTGCATATTGGCCTTTGATGAAATCTTTAACATAAAATTAATTTTCCAAATCCAGTGGTTGATTTTTACTTTCCATTACACGTAAAATACATATGTAATATCATGTTTTTACATTAATTTTGTTATAAGTCTACACAAAACTCTCTTCCTAAGAAATGCACTAGAATGAACCAAAGGAAAAACAGCAAAACCTGATTCCACACAGCTGGAAAGCTCAAACCTCTTTCTTAACACCCTTGGGAAAATTATTATAAGGAACTAATTCCACAATGACTTTTCACAATTATCTTTTTGGAAATATTGTATTAGTGGTGCAAAATATGTTATAGTTAAATAAGTGAGGAAATTTACAACAATCTACTTGAAAAGTGGGCAGTGTGTATTGCAATTCTACAAGGAACCGTTTGGAAATCTTCAAAATTTCACCCAATGGATCACGCTGTTATTGCATAATTTATGATGCTAAGTAATGTCATGCTTAGTAGCTCTAAAAAGCTAGGAAAATAGCCAAATAAGCAGGGAAACTATTATAAGAAATGCAATATTCTTAAGCTTATTTATCTAATTCAATTAATATACTCTGGTTTATGTGTAACAAAGATAAACAAAATGATTGAATATATGGTTAAACTAAAAGACAAGAACATTGACTGTGATCCAATCAATCAAAATGTAGGTACTATGTTTTCTCTAACTCCTATCTGAAATTACTTTTCTCAATAGAATTACATTTAATCAACCAATTTGAGGAATTTTACTCTCTAGTGTGGCATTACTTGTGATGAAATGAATGCAATTGTCTTCTAAAAACATAACCTTTGGTACTATACTTCTAAAAATAAAGCATAGTCCTCTAAAGTAGATGTTTTCATGCAGGTGGTATGCAAAATTTTAAAGTAACCATGGCAGGACTAGATTGCAACTCTTACTCAGACAGACAGAGCAGTGTGTGGAGGCTCTCTCCATGAATTATTATTCCAGAACAACTACAGGAATAAATTAAGAAACCTGAGAGGACCCACAGGCCCCTTTAAGAAAGCGGATTGATCCTGCAGGACCCAGGAGACACCCCAAATACTGTGAGTGTCCAAACTGTGGAAGTGGGAAACATCCACCCCTGAACATCCGCCACCCTCACTGAAGAAGCTGAAGGCCTAGATTATGGGAGAAGATTTGAACTTACCTAGAGCTGAGTCAATTTAAAGAGCAAAGCAAAATACAGGGGTAGAGGAAGCAGTGGGAAAAGCCCTAGGATCTTGTAGGGTCCCCTATCAAGCTGTTTTTGCCCGGCCATACAGGAGTTCTTTAGGAGGGTGGCCAGTGGTGCTGGGAAAAGGCCACAGGGAGAGGGAAATCTCCAGCTGAACTTTATAGCAATTTGAACTGTTTGAGAAGTCTCCTGGTCAGAACTCGGGGAAAGACATGAATCTGGTGTCCAGACTTCACAGGCGGGGAAACAAAGAAAGCCATATATGCTTTTGCTGCTGGTAGGCAAGTAGTCTGGGGTAAGTTCTCAGCCCTGCTTGCCCACTGCCTGGAAACAGACTCGGTGCTATTTCAGGGGGTATGGTGGGAGTAAGACTGGTGCCTTGGGTTGAGTGGGAACTGGGTGAGGCCTGTGACTACCGACTTTCCCCACTTCCCTGACAACCTAAATGACACAGTAGAAACAGTCATAATCCTCCTACGTACCCAGTTCCATTGACCTGGGGATCTCATCCCTATCCCCCACAGCAGCTGCAGCGAAACCCACCCAAGGAGTCAGCTCAGACACGCCTAGCCCTGCCACCACCCAATGGTCCTTCCCTACCCACCCTGGTAACTGAAGACAAAGGGCATATACTCTCGGGAGTTCTAGGGCTCTGCCCACCACTTGTTCCTCCACACACTACTGATGCTCTCTGGAAAGCACCACCTCCTGGTAGGAGGCCAACCAGCACAAAAATAGCGCATTAAACCACCAAAGCTAAGAGCCCTCACAGAGTCCATTTCACCCACCTGCCACCTTCACCAGAAAAGGTGCTGATATCTATGGCTGAGAGAACCACAGAGAGTTCACATTACAGGACTCTGGGCAGACAACCCCCAGTACCACCCCGGAGCCTGGTAGAATTGCAGAGTGGCTAGATCCAGAAGAGAGATAACAATCGTTACAGCTCGGCTCTCAGGAAGCCACATCCATAGGAAAAGGGGTAGAGTACTACATTAAGGGAACACCCTGTGGGACAAAAGAATCTGAACAACAGCTTTCAGCCCTAGACCTTCCCTCTGACAGAACCTACCCAAATGAGAAGGAACGAGAAAACCAGCTCTGGTAATATGACAAAACAGGGTTCTTTAACGCCCCCAATAAATCACACTAGCTCACAAGCAATAGACCCAAACCAAGAAGAAATCCCTGATTTACCTGAAAAAGAAATCAAGAAGTTAGTTATTAAGCTAATCAGGGAGGCACCAGAGAAAGGCAAAGCCCAATGTAAGGAAATCCAAAATATGATACAAGAAGTGAGGGGATAAATATTCAAGGAAATAGATAGCATAAATAAAAAACAATCAAAACTTCAGGAAACATTGGACACACTAATAGAAATGCAAATTGCTCTGAAAAGTCTCAGCAATAGAATTAAACAAGTAGAAGAAAGAAATTCAGAGCTTGAAGACAAGGTCTTCGAATTAACCCAATCTAACAAAGACAAAGAAAAAAGAATAAAGAAATATGAACAAAGCCTCCAAGATGTCAGGATTATGTTAAATGACCAAACCTAAGAATAATTGGTGTTCCTGAGGAAGAAAAGCAATATAAAAGTCTGGAAAATATATTTGTGGGAATAATTGAGGAAAACTTCTCTGGCCTTGCTAGAGACCCAGACCTCCAAATAGAAGAAGCACAAAGAACACCTGGGAAATTCATCGCAAAAAGATATCGCCTAGGCACATTGTCATCAGGTTATCTACAGTTAAGACGAAAAAAAGAATCTTAAGAGCTGTGACAAAAGCACCAGGTAAACTGTAAAGGAAAACCTATCAGATTAACAGAAGATTTCTCAGCAGAAACCCTACAGGCTAGAAGGGATTGGGGCCCTATCTTCAGCCACCTCAAGCAAAACAATTGTTAGCCAAGAATTTTGTATCCACTGAAACTAAGCTTCATATATGAATGAAAGATAGTTTTCTTCAGAAAAACAAATGCTGAAAGAATTCACCATTACCAAGCCACCACTACAAGAACTGCTAACAGGAGCTCTAAATATTGAAACAAATCCTGGAAACACATCAAAACAGAACCTCTTTAAAGCATGAATTTCACAGGACCTATAAAACAAAAATACAATTAAAAAAAAAACTAAAACAAAGAACAAAAAGCCAAGGTATACAGGCAACAAATAGCATGATTAATGGAATGGTACCTCACATCTCAACATTAACAATGAATGTAAATGGCCTAAATGCTCCACTTAAAAGATACAGAATTGCTGAATGAATATGAATTTACCAACGAACTATCTACTGCCTTCAAGAGACTCACCTAACACATAGGGACTCACATAAACTTAAGGTAAAGGGGTGGAAAAAGACATTTCATGTAAATGGACACCAAAAACGAGCAGGAGTAGCTATTCTCATATTAGATAAAATGAACTTTAAAGCAACAGCAATTAACAAAAAAGACAAAGAGGGACATTATATAATAATAAAAGGCCTTGTCCAACATGAAACTATCACAATCCTAAACATATGCTCCTAACACTGGAGTTCCCAAATTTATAAAACAATCACTAATATACCTAAAAAACGAGACAGACCATGGCATAATAATAGTGGGGGACTTCAATACTCCACTGACAGCACAAGACAGGTTATCAAGACAGAAATTCAGCAAAAAAAAATGGATTTAAACTATACCCTGGAACAAATGGACTTAACAGATACAAACAGAACATTCCATCAAACAACTGCAGAATATACATTCTATTCAACAGCGCATGGAACTTTCTCCAAGATAGATTATATGTTAGGCCACAAAATGACCCTCATAAATTTAAGAAAATTGAAATTATATTAGGTACTCTCTCAGACCACAGTGGAATAAAACTGGAAATCAACTCCAAAAGGAATCTTCAAAGCCATGCAAATACATGAAAATCAAATAACCCGCTCCTGAAGGAGCATTGGGTTAAAAATGAAATCAAGATGCAAATTACAAAAATTTTTGAACTGAATAACAACAGTGTCACAACCTATCAAAACCTCTGGGACACAGCAAAGGTGGTGATAAGAGGAGTGTTCATAGCCCTAAACACCTACATCAAAAAGTCTGACACAGCATAGATAATCTAAGGTCCCACCTGAAGGAACTAGAGAGACAGGAACAAACCAAAACCAAACCCAGCAGAAGAAAGGAAATAACCAAGATCAGAACAGAACTAAATGAAATCGAAACAAAAAAACTCACAAAAGAGAAATGAAACAAAAAGCTGATTCTTTGAAAAATAAATAAAATTGATGGACCATTAGCAAGAAAAGAAGAGAAAAAATCCAAATAAGCTCAATAAGAAATGAACTGAAAGATATTACAACTAACATCATAGAAATACAAAAGATAATTCAAGGCTACTATGAACACCTTTACGTGCGTGAACAAGAAAACCTAGAAGAGATGGATAAATTCCTGGAGAAATACAACCCTGATAGCTTAAGTCAGGAAAAATCAGATACCTTGAACAGTCCAATAATAACCAATGAGATTAAAATGGTAATTAACAAATTACCAACAAAAAAAAAGTCCAGGACCAGACAGATTCACAGCAGATTTTTAGCAGACATTCAAAGAAGAATTGGTACCAATCCTATTGACACTATTCCACAATATAGAGAAAGGAGGAACCCTCCCTAAATCATTCTATGAAGCTAGTATCATCCTAATGTCAAAACCAGGAAAGGACATAAGCAAAAAAGAAAACTATAGTCCAATATCCGTGATGAATATAGATGCTAAAATCCTAAACAAAATACTAGCTAACTGAATCCAACAACATATCAAAAACATAATCCACCATGATCAAGAGGGTTTCATACCAAGGATGCAGGGGTGGTTTAATATACATGTCAATGAATGTGATACACCACATACACAGAATTAAAAACAAAAATCACATGATCATCTCAATAGATGCAGAAAAAGCATTTGATAAAATCCAGCATCCCTTTATGATTAAAACTCTCAGAAAATTTTGCATAAAGGGATATACCTCAAGAAAATAAAAGCCATCTATGAGAAACCCACAGCCAACATAATACTGAAAAGGGGAAAAGTTGAAAGCACTCTTTCTGAGAACTGGAACAAGAAAAGAAGTCCCACTCTCACCACTCCTATTCCACATAGTACTGGAAGTCCTAGCCAGAGCAGAGAAGAGAAAGAAAGGGCAACCAAATCGGTAAAGAGTAAGTCAAACTGTCGCTGTTTGCTGATAATATAATTGTTTACCTAGAAAACCCTAAAGACTCCTCCAGAAAGCTCATATAACTGATAAAAGAATTCAGCAAGTTCTCTGAATAAAAAAATAATGTACACAATGTAGCACTTCCTTACACCAACAGCGACAAAGCTGAGAATCAAATCAAGAACCCAACCCTTTTTACAATAGCTGAAAAAAAAAAACAACTTAGGAATATACCTAACCAAGGATGTAAAAGACCTCTACAAGGAAAACTACAAAACACTGCTGAAAGGAATAATAAATGACACAAACAGATGGAAACACATCCCATGCCCATAGATGGGTAGAATCAATGTTTTGAAAATGACCACACTGCAATCTAAAAATTGAATGCAATTTTCATAAAAATACCACCATCATTCTTCACAGAATTAGAAAAAAAAATTGTAAAATTCATATGGAACCAAAAAAGAGCCCACATAGCCAAAGCAAGACTAAGTAAAAAACAAACAAACAAACAAACAAACAAAAACAAAAACAAAAAACAAATCTGGAGGCATCATATTACCTGATTTCAAAATACATTATAAGGCCATAGTCACCAAAACAGCATGGTATTGGTATAAAAATAGGCACATAGACCAATGGAACAGAATAGAGAACTCAGAAATAAAGTCAAATACTTACAGACAACTGATCTTTGACAAAGCAAACAAAAACATAAAGTGGGGAAAGGACACCCTGTTCAACAAATAGTGCTTGGATAATTGGCAAGCCACATGTAGGAGAATGAAACTGGATCCTCAGCTCTTGCCTTGCACAAAAATCAACTCAAGATGGATTAAGGACTTAAATCTAAGACCTGAAACTTTAACATTATAGAAGACAACACTGGAAAAACCCTTCAAGACATTGGCTTGGGCGAGAAGAACCCAAAACAGATGCAAGAAAAACAAAGATAAATTGCTGGGACTTAATTAAACTAAAGAGGGTTTGTACGTTAAAAGTAACAATCAGCATAGTAAACAGACAACCCACAGAGTGGGAGAAAAACCTCACAATCTATACATCTGATGAAGGACTAATATCCAGAATCTATAATGAACTCAAACAAATCAACAAGAATAAAGCAAACTATCCTATCAAAAAGTGGGCTAAGGACATGAATAGACAATTCTCAAAAGAAGATATACAAATGGCCAACAACCATATAAAAAAAAGTCTCATCATTCCTAATGATCAGTGTAATTCAAATCAAAACCACAATGTGATAATACCTTACTCCTGCAAGAATGGCCATAATCAAAAAATCAAAAAATAGTAGATGTTGGTGTAGACACAGTGAATAGGGAACACTTCTACACTGCTGGTGGGAAGGTAAGCTAGTACAACCACTATGGAAAACAGTGTGGAGATTCCTTAAAAAACTAAAAGTAGAACTATCATTTGATCTAGCAATCCCACTACTGGGTATCTACCCAGAGGAAAAGAAGTCATTATATGAAAATGATACTTGCACAGGCATGTTTAGAGCAGCACAATTTGCAATGGCAAAAATATGGAACCAGCCAAAAGGCCCATCAATCAACTAGTGGATAAAGAAACTGTGATTGAGATACACACACACACACACACACACACACACATATATATGATGGAATACTACCCAGCCATAAAAGTGAATGAATTGATGACAATCAAAGCGATGTGGATGAGATTTGAGAACATTTTTCTAAGTGAAGTAACTCAGGAATGAAAAACCAAGCATAATATGTTTTCACTCATAAATGGGAGCTAAGTTATGAGGCCGCAAAGGCATACGAATTACACAACGGACTTTGGGGACTCACGGGGAAAGGGCAGGAAGGGGGTGAGGGATAAAAGATTACAAATAGGGTACAGTATATACTGCTCAGGTGATGGGTACACCAAAATCTCACAAATCACCACTAAAGAACTTATTCATGTAACCAAACACCACCTGTTCCCCAATAAACTATGGAAATTAAAAAAAATTTAAAGCCAATAAATCTGAGGGAAAAAGTAGAGAAATTAAAATCAGCTGGATATTTTAACATTTTTTCTATTTTCAGTTGATAGCACCCCCCCCAAAAAAAACCCTGAATTCAGTAGGCTACAGGAGTGAACAATACTATTAATCAATTTGCTCTAAGTGACATGTACAGAACACTATACTCAACAGTAGAATGTACATTTTTATAAGTGCACAAGGAATATTGACCAAGATAGATCACACCTTGGGTTATAAAATAAATTTCTGTACAACTCTAAAGAATAAAATCTTACAGAATATGTAATCTGACCACAAAGGAGTTAAACTAAAAGTAAAACACAGCTAGAAAAAAAAATCATGCCATATTTCCCTGTTTCAATTTCACTTAAGTCGTTTTAGAAAAATAGGTAAATAAGTAAATAAGCCAAACACCCACGAGAAGGACTAAAATCTTGAAAAATGACAACTAATATTTAATGGATATAAAGCAACTGTAACTATCATATATTTTTGATGAGACTGTAAAATATTGCAATGTATTTAGAAAAAGTTCTGGTGGTTTCTTATAAAATTAAACCTATATCTACCCTATGAAGCAGCAATTCCGTTATTAGTTTTTTACCCAAGATACATGAAACCATATGCTTAAAGGGATTTGAAAGTGGTGTTGTGCACCTGTAGTCTCACCTACTCACGAGGATGAGGCAAGAAGATCCCTTGAAACCAGAAGTTTGAGTTCAGCCTGGTAAACATAGCACGCCCTCATCTCTTAAAAAATTGGAAAAATAATATTCCCAGTGGCTTTATTTATAATAGTCTTAAAATAGATAAAAATTCATTTTCCATGAAAGAAGCATGGTTAAAATAAAACTCTGATATATTTATATGATAGTATATGACTCAGAGATATAAAAGAACAACTACTCATAATGTGCAATAATGTGGAAAAAGTCTCAAAAACATCATCCTGTGTGAAAGAAGCCATACACCAAAGAATACATATGGTTTGTTTCCATTTGTATAACATCTAGAACAGGTAAAACCCACCTATAGTGAAAAAAATAAAAAACAACGATTGCCTTTTGGGAGTTGACAGTAGGAATCTCCTGGGAAGGGGTAGAAGAAAATTCTCTGGGGATAATGGTAATGTTATATCTTGAAATTAGTTTGCATTACACAGGTGTATGCATTTGTCAACTGTCAGATAATGGTACATTTGGGATTTGTGCATTTCACTCTATAGACATTTTACTCTTAAAAAGAAAATGAATTAAAAGAATAATGGATAGGTTAATAGATATGTCATAAAACACATACAGCAAAATTAAAAATGTACCTAACTTATGACTGTATCGGTCCATTTTCATGCCACTATAAGGAAATACCTGACACTGGGTAATTTATAAAGAAAAGAGATCTAATGGACTCACAGATCCACATGGCTGGGGATGTCTCACAATCATGGCAGAAGGCAAAGAAGGAGCAAAGGCACGTCTGACATGGCAGCATGCAAGGGAGTGTGTGCAGGGGAATTGCCCTTTATGAAATCATCAGATCACATGAGACTTGTTCACTTTCATGAAAACAGCAAGGGAAAACCTGCCCCATGATTTAATTACCTTCCACTGGGTCCCTCCTATGACATATGGGGATTATGGGAGCTAAAATTAAAGATGTAATCTGGGTGTGGACACAGTCAAATTATATCAATTATATATTAATGAAGAAAATGACAAATGGTTTTTAACATGGAATTAAGTAAAGTTATTACTAAAAATTGTCTTTTGTGATTTTAGTATCATTTTTCAAATTAAAATTAAAGCCCAGTAATTTATAGTTATATTGTTTATTGAAAGCATAGGCCTGTGTTTGAAATGAGGATTTTGAACCACTAACTTCATTTTATTTAGATATATTTTTAAGAAATGGGAGTCTCACTATGTTGTTCAAAATGGACTCAAACTCCTGGGCTCAAGTGATCCTCCTGCCTCAGCCTCCTGAGTATCTTAGATTAAAGGCATGCTGCACATCTCCTGGCTTGAAAGATTAGCTTTAAACCAGCAATAAGTAAATAAATGAATAAATAAATAAATAAATTAGAAGAAAATTCTGATATTTCTAAAGATTTTGATGAGATTCACCCTCATAAAGAAAAGTTGAGAACAAAGGATACTGTAATAGCATTACATCAATCATGGCAAGATAATTTGTCTTTGTTTTAATAGCACCAGTTTGAAAAAAAAGAAAGTAAAAGAAGAACTTGTATTTAAATGCTTATTTAAAACTGAAAATGAGTCTACATTTTCATGTATCTTGTACATGAGAACATACCATTCATCAATTGTACAAGCTCATTTAACTTCTGATTCTGACACAGTTCTAGCTACAAACATCTTGAAATTCTGAATAACACAAATTAAAATTATCCTGTGGACAAACTTAGGCTTACGAAAGAAAGGAAATCCACAGGTGCTAGAAATAAAGATTAAACAACATCCAAGCAGCAAGAGGTGAGTGTAAAAATATCCACCATTTTAATCTAGCGGTTAAGGTTTTAACAATGACCCAAGAATAAGAGACAAATGTTACTGTATACAGGAATTAAGCTTCCTGCTTAAAGCCATGTCACACAATGAGTTATTTTATTGGCTGCTTGGAAATCTATATGTAAATTGTGTTAGTCCCTGCGTGATCTCAGGCATCTTATCTTTCTCATCTAATTCTTGCCTTGCTTATTTACAAAATGGAAATTATAGCTACCAACTCTTGGATAGTTTTTTACCGAAAGAAAAATCTATTATATTGGAGAATGGAAATACACCGGGTTTTTTTTCTTTATCATACTTTAAGTTCTAGGGTACATGTGCACAATGTGCAGGTTTGTTACATATGTATACATGTGCCATGTTGGTGTGCTGCACCCGTTAACTCGTCATTTACATTAGGCATATCTCCTAATGCTATCCCTCCCCCCTACCCCTACCCCACAACAGGCCCCGGTGTGTGATGTTCCCCACCCTGTGTCCAAGTGTTCTTGTTGTTCAATTCCCACCTATGAGTGAGAACGTGCGGGAAATACACCAGGTTTAATGGGAAGATATAGAATGACAAATCCGTAAATTTGATATATATATATATATGTATATATATATATAAAAATATATACACACATACATATATGTTTATATTTACATAATTACTTTAATATATATTTAAATATATATTTTAAATGTGTATGTGTATATATATTTTAGCATATACATTGTATTTAAGCTTATGCTTTATATATAAATATTATAGCCATACTTTAAATATATGTATTTGAGCATATGTATATTTCAGCCTATCTCCATGCTTAAATGAACACCATTACTTTAGCTGTTGGATATAGCGCATTGCATAGATCAGCCATACTTATAATAATCAATCCCTTCTTAATGTCTGTTCTGAACTTTACATTATTAACAAAATCGTAGCAATGCATTTTTTTTTTACCTTTCCTTCAAGAACTTATGTGGACATTGTGTTATACTGAAGTAGACCAATAAATCAATGAATTAGAACGGAAATTTTGGAAAGATATTTTTAGATGTATGCAAAATCATTAAATGAGGGAGGTTGCATACACTTTAAAGGGGAAAATGCTTAATGAATAATTTTTGCTAGATTAAATAATTGTACATATGGAATAAGTTAAATTAGGTCCTACTTATAAAAATATAAAAATATGTACATAAATCAGTAGCTCTGCTACACAACAACAATGACCAAGCTGAGAATCAAATCAGGAACTCAACCCTCTTCACAATAGCTGCCAAAAAATAAAAATAAATAAAAAACATAAACAAAAAATAAATAAAATAAAACTTAGGAATATACCTAACCAAGGACATGAAAAAGTTCTACAAGGAAAACTACAAAACACTGCTGAAAGAAATAATAAATGACATAAACAGATGGAAACACTTCCCGTGCTCATGGATGGGAAGAATCAATGTTATGAAAATGACCATACTGCCAAAAGCAATTTATAAATTCAATGCAATTTTCATCAAAATACCACCATCATTCTTCACAGAATTAGAAAAAAAGAATCCTAAAATTCACATGGAACCAAAAAGAACCCACATAGCCAAAGCAAGGCTAAGCAAAAAGAACAAATCTGGAGGCATCACATTACCCAACTTTATACTACAAGGCCATAGTCACCAAAACAGCATGGTACTGGTATAAAAATAGGCACATAGACCAAGGGAACAGAATAGAGAACCCAGAAATAAAGCCAAATACTTACAGTCAAATGATTTTCAACAAAGCAAATAAAAACATAAAGTGAGGAAAGGACACCCTATTCAACAAATGGTGCTGAAATAATTAGCAAGCCATATGTAGAAGAATGAAACTGGATCCTCAGTTCTTGCCTTATACTAAAATAAGCTCAAGGTGGATCAAAGATTTAAATCTAAGACCTGATACTTTAAAATTCTAGAAGATAACATTGTAAAAAACTTCTAGACGTTGGTTTAGGTGAAACTTTATGACCAAGAACCCAAAAGTAAATGCAACTAAAACAAAGATAAATAGATGGGACTTAATTAGACTAAAAAGCTTCTGCACAGCAAAAGAAATAATCAGCAGAGTTAACAGACAACCCACAGAGTTTGAGAAAATCACAATCTACATCTGACAATGGGCTAATATTCAGAATCTACAAGAAACCCAAACAAATCAACAACAACGACAAAACAATCCCATCAAAAAGTGGGCTAACACTTTTGATGACTTAGACTATTCTCAAAAGAAGATATACAAATGGCCAACAAGCACATGGAAAAATGCTCAACATCACTAACGATCATGGAAGTGTAAATCAAAACAACAATGCGATACCACCTCACTCCTACAAAGATGGTCATAATCAAAAAATCAAAAAATAATTCATGCTTGTTTGGATGCCATGATATGGGTACACCTTTTACACTGTTCATGGGAATGTAAACTAGTACAGGCACTATGGAAAACAGTGTGTAGATTCCTTAAGGAACTAAAAGTAGATTTACCATTTGATCCAGCAATCCCATTACTAGGTATCTACCCAGAGGAAAAGAAGTCGTTACATAAAAAAGATACTTGTATGCACATATTTATAACAGCACAAATTGCAATTGCAAAAATATGGAACCAGCCCCAAGGCCTATCAATCAACAAGTGGATAAAGAAAATGTTTTTTACATATATATACACACATATATATACATATATACGTGTATATATATATACACACATGTATGTATATACATAACATTTTCTAGGGTATTCTATGGTATATATATATATATATATATATATATATATATATATATATATACCATAGAATACTTCTCAGCTGTAAAAAGGATGAAATAATGGCATTTTCAGCGACCTGGATGGAATTGGAGACTATTATTGTAAATGAAGTAACTCAGGAATGGAAACCCAAACATCATATGTTCTCACTCACATGTGGGAGCTAAACTATGAGGACACAACGGCATAAGAATGATACATTAGACTTTGGGAACTTAGGGGAAAGGATGGGGTGTGGTATGAGAATAAAGTCCACACATTGGGTACAGCGTACGCTGCTTGGGTGATGGATGCATCCAAATCTCAGAAATCACCATTAAAGAACTTACTCATGTAACCAAACAACACCTGTTCCACAAACCTATTGAAATAAAAAAATCAATAACTTGTATGAATGCAAAAAATATATATACAAATTAATTATATCTGGAATAATTACCTTAATATTAAAATGATGAAAACTACAAAAGTGTTACAATAAAATATATAAATAGAGTTTTATGTGTGGGGAAGACTTTCTGAAGGAAAAGCATGTAAGTTCAACTACAATGAATTAAAAAATTCTGTATGCCATAGAAATTATAAAGTTTAAAAAACAACTGGGTAGACTAAGAGAAGATATTTAAAACATCTATATATCTCCAATACAAGTAAAATATGCAAAACATAAAACAAACACTATTAATGAATAGGACAAAAAAAAAAAAAAGAAGAAAGAAATAGAAAACAACCAATGGTATGGACAATCAATTCAAAGAAATCTGAATGATCACAAACATAAGAAAGGATTTTGAATCTCATAAATTTGTAAAAATGCAACTTAAAACAAAGCAGCATAATTCAAATCCTATGAATCAGAAAGAACATTAAAAAGTTTTAAATAATATTCATCAGCAGGAGTATGAGAAACATTATTCCCTTATTTTTTTTGGTGGGATTCTAAACTGATGTGACTACTTTGTAGAGAAATGTCAGTGGATAGGAAAACTGATGAAGGTGACCACTCAGCATGTCTTTCAAACTATACAGACTGTGGGTTCTCCTTTTATCTGAGTTGAAAACATAATGCGCATAAATTCAGAGGATTACAGAATCCCTGAAACCTATCCATGAGTATTCTAGAGTGTCCATTAACTTCTGCACCAGTGATCCTTTGTGTATAATTATGTTGTTTGTAAACTAAATCATATAATACGTATCTAATGACTAGTAGAGATCTCATAGGAGCTGAGAACAACTTAGACATCTCAAAACTACCTGTAGACCAAGGAATAGACCTTTCCCTGTTATAAATTTTTCCCTTGGTAGAATTCAGGCTGAGAGGCAAATCAATGACAATAATATTAATAGTTTTGGTATTGATTTGACTTAGTAAATTTATAGATTGAGAGCTGTCTAAAATGTCAATTAAGAAAATAAAACCTAATTCCAGGAAATTTTATATTTTATGTGTGTGTGTGTATATATAAAATTATATATTATTATTAATAATTATAATATAACAATATATAATATAGTATGATAATTATATATAATTATTATTAACTATTATATATTATAAAATATAGTATATGTTATATTATTATCATGAATAATTAATATATATGATAATAATGTATAGTATATATTATACATTAATTATTATTAATAATTAATACATTTTATATATAAATATATTATACAATATATTATATATTATATAATATGTCATAATATGCAATATATTATATATGATATATAATATATATACAAAACACAATATACAATTTCCTTGAATTAGGTTTTATTTCCTTAATTGACATTTTATATATATATTACAAATATATATGTAAATTATATAGAATAAATTATTTATTAAGCCAACCAGGATGGCATACAAAAGGCATGTGCTATATTAGGCATATGTAATACCAAGCCCACATCCTTGACTCCCTGTCGTTTCCCATGCAATGCCAATCTCTCGGGTCACTTTATTAATTCAACTACATTTCAAGGAATCATATTTAACTTGCTAAAATTGGCACATAAGATGTATAGTGGCTTAAATGATGGCCCTGGAAAACTAATGCAAAGTGGAAACAACTTAACTTCTGAGGGATAAAATCTCCCAGCTTAACAGAACAGGAAATCTGTCCATTAGATGCTGATTAACTTTGCTTCATGCTCTAATAACTAATGCCGTGCAAATCCAATCAACTAGCCCTGACAAATTTGACTACAATGCAAACTATCAGTCATGGCCAGAGAAGATTCTATTCTAGAAATTGCGTAGACATTAGCAAGATATTTTGGCAAGGGCACGATATTAAACATGTCTTCCCTTCAGCTATGTACTGGATCCCATCACATTCAGTGTCCTTAAGGGTCTGGGTCATTTAATACAATTTGTTTTATTTTTCTCAGCCTTTTCTTCTCTATTAACCCCTCTCAACAGTATTAAAACCAATAAAAGTTTCTCCCATATTTAAAATATAAAAATTTTCCTTCACCTCTTTTGGACCCCTTGAAGCTATTCTCTTATCTTTCTCCTTCCCTTTACAACCAAGTGTCCTAAAGAAGTTGTCTGCAAAAAAATTGGCTGTGTCCATTTTTTCACCCTCTATTTGTGTTTCACACAACCACAACCTGGCTTCTGTCACCTCTGCTAAGCTGAAATAGTTGTAGATAAAATCACCATTGACTTCTTTGTTACTTCATTGAATGGAAATGTCTCAGCCCTAGTTTTAGTTAATCTTTGCTCAGAATTTGATGTGTTCATCAACCTTTCCTTACATTGTACTCTATTTTGGTGGGTGAGGGAGCATGTTACACCACATCCTTCTTACTGTGTTCTTCTCAGCCTCCTTACTAGAATTTTCTTTTGTTTTCCTCATGGTTACAACCTCTTTTTATTCTAAACACTTTTACTCAGTGAACCTATCCATTCCCTGATCTTCACGTACTGTTTTATATTTTAATAATTTAAGCTATATTACCAGTGTAAGTTTTACTCCTTATCTCCAGTCCACATTTCGATGTATCTATGGAATTATAGCCTGATGGTAACACTGTACTACTATTAAATGTAAGAATTATAATAATTGAGAACTCACTGCGGATGAGTCTTTCTGATAAATCCATTTGATGAATTATCAACCTTAAAAGGTAGTTTCAAATATTAACTCCATTTAAAGATAAGTAAACTGAAGATTAGAGATATTTAATAAATTACTCAATACATACAATTAGAATTGAGATGTGTCTTACTCCCAACCCTACGCTATCAGCCACTTTTCATTCTGCTTCTAGTGATTAATATGCAAGGGCTTCTCCACAAAAACTCAAATCCAACAGAACCTAAATTGAAATTTTCCATTTGATTTGTTATTGCAATAATTTGCAATTATTCATCAATTTATACACTCAAGAAATTGGACATTTTCCCTTGCAGATCATATGTAATAAATCATAAGTTTTGTAGCTTATCCTTTCTTAATACCTGAAATATACAGCCCTATCTCTCTATCCCTACTGTTCAAAACGCATTAACCTGCCCCGTAATCACGGCAGCAACTTCCTAACTGGTGTCTCTGTTCCAGTTCATGACCCTTCCAAACCATTTTTCACAACGCACCCTGAGTGATTTTCTCAAGTTAAATCTGGTCATGTCCCTTTCTTGCTTACTTAAAGCCTGTCAATGTCATTCCACTGCCTTCAGGATAAGATCCAAACTCCTTAGTAAGGCATGCAAGGTCATTCATGACCCAGCATTTGTCTAAATCTGTGGCTTCTTCTATCCAAACTACTCATTTCATTCTAAGTTCCAACCATTGGACGCTATTTGTAGATCTCCAAGCAGGCTGCACTTTATTTCACCTTTAAAATTTACAAAAAGGTTCTTTTCTACTGCCTAACAATGTGACCTTCTCTCTCATTCAGTAGGCTAACTGCACATCATCCTTCATGATTCAGCTTAGATGTTAACTTCCTCTTGTAAGCCTTCTCTCCCTCCCCAAGGTCTCCCTATGATCTCCCAGAGGATATAATCATTACCCTGATCATAGAATTTATCTATATTATAGATATGTATTATATATATATTATTATATATAATAATATATATTATTTAGCAAGCAATAATATATATAATATATTATAATATATATATGTTTTTAATCATATATACAGGTATATATACCCCCTTTCCATAGTGTCCTCTATTATCTCATGCGTGGGTGCTGTGGACAGCAAACACACTATTTAATCATTCTTAATCAATCCACATTAGGAGACAGGAATGTTGCAACTTACTTTCATCAGCCTCACAGCAGAATAGCTGTGACTAATTGGAGGAGGGCCACCATGACCCAGTTTTGGAGCCCTGGCACTTCTGCAACGTTTAAAATATCACTGTGGGATGGTGGAACATATTGACCAATGCCACCTGACCTCCTCCAATAATGGAAATGTAGAGACAACTCCAGTCTCTAGAGCTATTTCTCTCTTGCTTCTCATGAGCACTTTCTGTATTTTTCAGGAAAAAAAAAAAAAAAAAAAAACAGGAACTAAAAGCGGAGGTGTGGGTGTGGGAGGGGCTGAGCCTTCAAATAGCTCCCTGAAATGCCATCTGAAACAGGAAGGGTTTGGAGGAAAGGACAAAGGGAATGTGTTTAAACAACAACGGAAAGTAAATGCACTCAACTTCTGGTTTTTAGAACATTTGACATTTAAAAAAAATTTTATTTTATTTTTTGTTGAATTGTATACGTAGCACTGCGGTCTACTTTGCTGGTAGTGACTTTTTTTGTATAATTTTTTTCTTTATATATATATATTTTTATTATACTTTAAGTTCTAGGGTACATGTGCACAACGTGCAGGTTTGTTTTTTGTATAATTTTTGATTTGCTGAGAACAATCTTTCCCACACTGACCACATATATTTTAAAAAATCCAGATTTTTATAATAGTCATTTTATAATTTAAGAATATATCCATTTTCTGCTTATAAAATTAATTCGTGTGCACAATTAAAGATTTTAGAAAACTCGGAGGGATATTTTTAAAAATAAAAATCACTAATGGTCTCTAATGTTCCAAACAGCATAAATATTATTAGTATCTTTTTTTCTGTCGATCTGGCTATCTATCATCTCTCTATCTAATCTATCCACAAAATTTGATTTTCTGATTGAAAATATGCTACGTGGTGTACTCAAAATTTACTTCAGGGACCCACAGTTAGGTTCCCAGAGAAGTTGCAAATAATGATTTGTTTTGAACATGAGTGATTTTTTGTAGTTCATTCTCGGATGGTAAAGGCTTGATGTTTTCCTTGCAGAACTCTCTTTGGGAGTTGACCTTCAAAATAGCTAAGATCTAGGCACAGTTTAGCAAGCCATGTGACTCTGGTCAGGAAAGACAGGCTTACCATTCATAAAACAGTGATTTCAGGTCATCTGTCACAAATATAACCAGTTTTTATGAGCCTAGTTCTTGATTGGCCAGTGACTATTACACAGATGAGTGTAAATAGCATGAAAGATTTTCTCATTTGGTAAGAGTTAATGATTCTCCATGGATATACATATAGGCATAATTTTCACAACATTTGAATTATTCTGTTCATACAACTTTTCCAACTACTGAAATAATAATGCAATTTATTTGACTTCTAGTTATATAGTTAAAACATGTGGTCAACTTATAACATGCATTTTGTAAAGTGAACGAGCATAAATCTAAATAAACATAACAATGATCTACTGATACTCTAGAAACTGCGTTCATTATCTTTACCCTCTTTCAAAGGCAGTATCAATACCTGGGAGATCGATATGAAATTTCACATATAGCTTATGGAATATAAGGAACAAAAGTTAAAATTGGAGTTAATATAGTTCAAGCCCCTCATGAGAAAACTCTGGATATGCTATACTTTTTCCTGAGGTCACAATGCTTTTTTGTTGAAAAACCAATATTTAAAATAAAACTAATCTGATTTTCTTTAAGATCCCTTATATTATGCCTCATGGCTTCACAACTAAGATATGTACTTTAATTTATTATAGATGTATATTATTTGTTGATAGATATAAAGAAATATATGGTATGTATATATGCAAACATACACCTTTATGCATTTTTTTTTTTCAGACAGAATCTCGCTCTGTTGCCCAGGCTGCGGTGCAGTGGTGTGATCTCAGCTCACTGCAACCTCTGCCTCCCAGGTTCAAATGATTCTTCTGCTTCAGCCTCCTGAGTAGCTGGGATTACAAGTCCCTCCCACCACACCTGGCTAATTTTTGTATTTTCTTTTTTTTTTTTTTACTAGAGATGGGATTTCACCATGTTGGCTAGGCTGGTCTCAAACTCCTGACGTCAGGTGATGCACCCTCCTCGCCCTCCCAAAATTCTGGGATTACAGGAGTGAGCCACCGTGCCCAGCCACCTTTATGTATTTTTGAAGTTTCTATTGAAATATGTATATGTATTGAAAAGGGTACTTATCATATATTTTTCACAAAATAGGTGCAACCTATCCACCTATGCAGAACCCAGATCAAGAAAGAGTTTAATGGTGTTATCAACATCCCAAAGTCCTTCTCATGCTCAGCCCTTCCCTCCCTGCTCTCCTCCACAACACACACACACAAGAATTCTCCTCACATCTACAGGTCTTTCTCCGCACCTGATCTGGAGTAGTGGCATGATCATAGCTCACTGGAGCCTCCTGGGCTCAAATGGTTCTCTTCCCTTTGCCTTCTGAGTAGCTGGGAATATAGGCAGACACCTCCAAGACTTTGCTAATTTTTTTTTTTTTTTTAAGTAGAGACAGGGCCTCACAATTTTGCCCAGGTGGTCTTAAACTCCTTGCCTCAAGTGATCCTCCTCCTTCGGCCTCCCAAAGTGCTGAGATTACAGGCATGAGCCACCATGCCTGGCTCTTTCTCAGTTTTATATGAATGGAATCTTAGTGTCTTAGATCAGGTTGTTATAACAAAATATAGCCTGGGTGATAATGATAGGAATACATTTCTCATAGTTCTGAAGAATGGAATTCTGAGATCTTGGCACTAGGATAGTCAGGTTCTGATGAACACCCTCTCTGGATTGCAGATTGCCAATTTCTCATTGTATCCTATGTGAAAGAAGGAGAACAACCTGGCTTTCTAGCCTTATAAAAGCACTAATCCCATTCATGAAAGCTTCACCCTCATTACTTACTTCCTAAAGGCCCCATCTCCTAATATTATCACATTGAGATTAAGGTTTAGACTTACGAATTTTGGGGGCACACAAATATTTAGTGTAGTGCAAATACGATGTTCATTTTGCTCTACATTACAGATGTGAGATTCACGCATATTTTAGCTGCTTGCTGTACATTCTATAGTACAGAATGTTATTATAAGAATACACCACAGCTTTTTTATCCACTCTGTATTTGATAGGCAGTTTGGTGTTTTTGGTATTTGAGTAATTAAAAAAATAGTATTCCTTGTCTTGAATGTACAAGCTGATAAAAATTGTGCTCTGACGAATATTTTTGTAACCATATTTTCGGTGAATATGTTTATGCTTTCATTAGGGGAATTTCTAGGTCATTGGATACGAATAGTTTAGTCAATTTTTCCAACACTCTTCAAAAATATTGTGCAATTTACATTTCCACAAGTAGAGTTTGAGGATTTATATTACTTCACATGTTTGCAACACTTGAAATTTTTTCTTTTTCAAACTGGTTTCAGTAGTTGTACATTGATTTGGCATTACAGTTTTAATATGCATTCATGATAGTTAAATAGATTAGTTGGTATCTCATGTGTAAAGAACTCACTTAATATTTGCCAATTTTTTATTGGGTTTTCTTCTTATTATTTATTTGTAGGAGTTCATCATACAATTTTAGTGAGACCTTTTCCTACATATGTATCAAAAATAACTCCTAGATCCTCTGTGTGTTGCTTTCTTTAATGTGTCTTTTGAAGAAAATAAATAATCCAATTTATCACTTGTTAACATTATGTTTAGCATTTTTTTTGGTATGTCTTGAGTAAGAACTCTTTTCTCCTTCAAGCACTTCTTACATTTTTTAAGTTTTTATAAGTTATATAACAACATAGCTTTGAAAGAAAAAAATGTGTTAGGAGAAAAATTGAATAATCTTGAAATATGGCAAATATCTAAAATATCAATATCCATGAAATAAAATTTATTGGAAAAATGTGTATAAACATATAGAGAAACATCTTTTCTTTTTTATTTTCAACTTTTAAGTTTAGGAGTACATGTGTGGGATGTGCAGGTTTGTTACATAGGTAAACGTGTGCTATGGTTGTTTGCTGCACAGGTTATCCCAACACGCAGGTATTAAGCCCAGAATCCACTAGCTGTTCTTCTTCATCCTCTCCCTCCTCCCAACCCCACCCTTTGATAGGCCTCAGTGTGTGTTGTTACCTTCCCTGAGTCCATGTGTTCTCATTGTTCAGCTCCCACTTATGAGCAAGAACATATGGTGTTTGGTTTTCTGTTTCTGAGCTAGTTTGCTAAGTAAGGATAATGGCCTCCAGCTCCATCCATGCCCCTGCAAAGAACATGATGTCATTCCTTTTTATGGCTATGTAGTATTCCATGGTGTGTATGTACCACATTTTCTTTATCCAGCCCATCACTGATGGGCATTTAGGTTGATTCCATGTTTTGGCTATTGTGAAAAGTGCTGCAATGAACATACATGTGAACATGTGCATTTTTGTCATAAAATGATTTCTATTCCTTTAGGTATATATCCAGTAATGAGATCGCTGGGTCACATGATAAGTTTGCCTCTAGGTCTTTGAGGAATCACCACACTGTCTTACACAATGGTTGAACTAATTTACACTTCAACCAACAGTGTAAAAGTGTTCCTTTTTCTGCACAACCTCACCAGCATCTGTTATTTTTTCACTTTTTAATAATAGCCATTCTGACTGGTGTGAGATGGTATCTAATTGTGGTTTTGCGTTTCTCTTATGATCAGTGATGTTGAGCTTTTTTACATGTTTGTAGACCTCATGTACGTCTTCTTTTGAGAAGTGACTGTTCATGTACTTTGCTCACTTTTTAATAAGGTTGTTTTTTTCTTGTAAATTTGTTTAAGTTCCTTATAGATGCTGGATATTAGACCTTTGTCAGATGCATAGTTTGCAAAAATTTTCTTCCATTCTGTAGGTTGTCTATGTATTCTGTTGATAGTTTCTTTTGCCGTGCAAAAGCTCTTTAGTTTAATTAGATCTCATTTGTCAATTTTTCCTTTTGTTGCAATTGCTTTTGGCATCTTCATCATGAAATCTTTGCCCATGCCTGTGTCCTGAATGGTATTGCCTAAGTTTTCTTCCATGGTTTTTATAGTTTGGGGTTTTACATTTATGTCTTTAATCCATCTTGAGTTGATTTTTGTATATCATGTAAGGAAGGGTTCCAGTTTTAATTTCTGGCATATCGCTAGCTGTTTCTCCCAGAACCATTTATTAAATAGGAAATCCTTTCCCTATTGCTTGTTTTTGTTACCTTTATTGAAAATCAGATGGTTGTAGTTGTGCAGCTTTATTTCTGGGCTCTTTATTCTGTTCCATTGGTCTATGTGTCTGTTTTAGTACCAGTACAGTGGTGTTTTGGTTACTATAGTCCTGTAGTACAGTTTGAAGTCAGGTAGCGTGATGCCTCTAGCTTTATTATTTTTGCTTAGGATTGCCTTGGCTAGTTGGCTCTTTGTTGATTCTTGTACCAGTACAGTCGTGATGGGGTTACTGTAGCCCTATAGTACAGTTTAAAGTCAGGTCGCACGATGTCTCCAGCTTGGTTCTTTGTGCTTAGGATTGTATTGGCTATTTGGGCTCTTTTTTGATTCCATATGAATTTTAACTTTTTTCTAATTCTGTGAAGAATGTCAATGATAGTTTAATGGGAATAGCATTGAATCTTTAAGTTGATTTGGGTAGTATGGCCATTTTTCATATTGATTCTTCCTATCTGTGAGCATGGAATGTTTTTCCATTTGTTTGTATCATCTCTAAATTTCTTTGAGCCATGGTTTGTGGTTCTTGAAAAGGTCTTTAACTTCCCTTCTTAGCTGTCTTCCTAGGTGTTTTATACTTTTTGTGGCAACTGTAAATGGGAGTTCATTCCAGATTTGGTTCTTGGCTTGCCTTTTGGTGGATATGCTAGTGATTTTTGCATATTGATTTTGTATCCTGAGATTTTGTTGGAGTTGCTTATTAGCATAAGAAGCTTTTAGGTTTAGTTAATAGGGTTTTCTAGATACAGGATTATGTCATCTTCAAACAAAGATAGTTTGACTTCCTCTCTTCCTATTTGAATGCGCTTCATTTTTTTATCTTGCCTGGTTGCCTTTGCCAGAACTTCCAATACTATACTGAATAAGAGTGATGAGAGAGGGCATCCTTGTCTTGTGCTGCTTTTCAAGGGAAATGCTTCCAGCTTTTGCCCATTCTGTTTGATCCTGGCTGTGGGTTTGTCATAAATCGTTCTTATTTTGAGTTACGTTCCTTCAATATCTAGTTTATTGAGAGCTTTTAACATAAAGTGATGTTGAATTTATCAAAGGCCTTTTTTGAATCTATTGAGATAATAATGTGCATTTTGTCATTTGTTTTCTTTATGTAATTAATCACGTTTATTGATTTGCATATGTTGAACAAACCTTTCATTCTGGGGATGATGCCTACTTGATTGTGGTGGATGAGCTTTTTGATGTTTTGGTGGATTTGATTTGCCAATATTTTGTTGAGGGTTTTTGCATTGATGTTCATCAAGAATATTGACCTGAAGATTTCTTTTATTGTTGTATCTCTGCCAGGTTTTGGTGTCAGGATGATGCTTCCCTCATAGAATGAGTTAGGGAGGAGTCCCTCCTTTTCCATTGTTTGGAATAGTTTCAGCAGGAATAGTACCAACTCTTCTTTGTAACTCTGGTAGAATTCACCAGTGAATTTTCTGGTCCTGTGCTTTTTTTTCTTTTTTTTTTTTTAGTTTGAAGGCTATTTATTCCTGCCTCAAATTCCAAACTTGTTGTTGGTCTATTCAGGGATTCAATATTTTTCTGGTTCAGTCTTAGTAGGGTGTTTGTGTCCAGGAATTTGTCCATTTATTCTAGATTTTTTTCTAGTTTGTGTGCATAGAGGTGTTTATAATATTCTTTGATGATTGTTTCTATTTCTGTGAGGTCAGTAGTAATATTGCCCTTATCATTTCTGATTATGTTTATTTGAATCTTCTCTCTTCTTTATTAGCCTAGTTAGCAGTGTATCTATTTTATTAATTTTTTTCAAAAAATCAGTTCCGTGAGTTATTGATCTTTTGAAGGGTTGTTTTGTGTCTCTATCTCCTTCAGTTCAACCATGATCTTGGTTATTTCTGGTCTTCTGCTAACTTTAGGGATTGTTTGCTCTTGTTTCTCTAGTTCTTTTAGTTGTGATATTAGGTTGTTAACTTGAGAATTTTTTAGCTTTTCGATATGGGAATTTAGTGTTATAAATGTGTCCCTCTTTTTTTTTTTTTCTTTTTCTTTTTTTTTTTTTTGAGACAGAGTCTCACTTTGTTGCCAGGCTGGAGTGCAGTGGCATGATCTCCACTCACTGCAACCTCCACCTCCCTGGTTCAAGCAGTTCTCCTGTCTCAGCCTCCCGAGTAGCTGGGACTACAGGCATGTGCCAGCACACCCAGCTAATTTTTGTATTTTTAGTAGAGACGGGTTTCACCATGTTGGCAAGGATGGTCGCAATCTCTTGACCTCACAAGATGCCCACCTCAGCCTCCCAAAGTGCTGGGATTACAGGCATGAGCCACTGCTCCTGGCCTAAATTTTTCTCTTAACACTGCTTTAGCTGCATCCCAGAGATTGTGGTACATTATCTTTTTGTTCTCATTAGTTTCAAAGAACTTCTTGATATCTTCCTTAATTTTATCATTTACCTAAAAGTCATTCAGGAGCAGGTTGTTCAATTTCTATGTAGTTGTATGGTTTTGAGTGAATTTCTCAATCTTGAATTCAATTTGATTTTTCTGTGGTCTGAGAGACTGTTTGTTATGATTTCAGTTATTTTGCATTTGCTGCAGAGTGTTTCACTTTCAGTTATGTGATAAATTTTAGAATAAGTGATGTGGTAATGAGAAGAATGTATATTCTATTGTTTTAGGGGAGAGAGTTCTATAGATATCTATCTGCTCTGCTTGATTCAGAGCTGAGTTCAGATTCTGAATATCTTTGTTAATTTTCTGTCCTGATAATCTGTCTAATATTGTCAGTGGGGTGTTAAAGTCTCCCACTATTACTGTGTGGGAGTCTAAGTCTCTTTGAAGGTCTTTAAGAACTTGCTTTCTGAATCTGGATGGTCCTGTATTGGGTGCATATATATTTAGGATAATTATCCCCTCTTGTTGAATTGAACACTTTACCATTATGTAATACCCTTCTTTCTCTTTATTGATCTTTGTTGGTTTAAAATTTGTTTTGTCAGAAACTCGGATTGCAACCCCTGGTTTTTTCTGTTTTCCTTTTGCTTGGCAAATTTTATCCATCCCTTTATTTTGAGCCTATGTATGTCTTCACATGTGAGATGGGTCTCTTGAAGACAGCATACCAATGGGTCTTGGTTATTTATCCAGCTTGCCACTTTATGCCTGTTAATTGGGGCATTTAGCCCATTTACTCAGAAATTCTTCCCTCCACTTTGTCCATTCTGCTATTAATACTTATGAATGCATTGTGAAATTCTTGTAGTGTGTTTTTAGCTCTATCAAATCAGTTATGTTCCTCTCTACACTGGATATTTTGGCTGTCAGCTCCTGCATTGTTTTATCATGATTCTTAGCTTCCTTGCATTTGGTTACAAAGTGCTCCTTGAACTCAATGATGTTTGCTTTTAGACACATTCTAAAGCCCACTTCTGTCATTTCAGCCATCTCAGCCACAGCTCAGTTATGAACCTTTGCTGGAGATGTGTTGTGTTCATTTGAAGGAAAGGGGGCACTCTGGCTCTTTGAGTTTATAGAATTTTTGTAATAATTCTTTCTCATCTTTGTGGGCTTATCTACCTTCTATCTTTGAGGTTGCTGACCTTCAGATGGGGATTTTGTGTGTGTTTTGTTGTTGTTGTTGTTGTCGTTGTTGTTTTGTTTGTTTTTCTTTTAAGAGTCTGGCCACTGTTCTGTAAGGCTGCTATGGTTTGCTGGGGGTTTGCTCCAGACCTGAGTTGTCTTGGTCCTTCCAGTATCTGGAGGTATCACCAGTGAAGGCTGTGAAACAGCAAAGATGGTAGTCTGCCCCTTCATCTTGGAACTTCACCCCAGGAAGGGACTGATCCATTGTTGGCTTGAACACACCTATAGGAGGTGGCTGGAGACCCCAGGTTGGAGGTCTCCCCAGTCAGGAGGAATGGGATCAGGGACCTGCTTAAAAAAGTAGTCTGGCTACATTTTGGTAGAGCAGCTGTGCTGTGTAGGAAATCTCTTCAGCCCCTGATCAGTCTGGGCTCTCCAAGGCCCAAAGTCTGGACAGGCTGATATGCCCAAACAGCAAAGGTGGTGGCCCACTTTATGCCCTCTGTCCCAGAGAGAAATTAGAACTCTGTTTGCCATAGAACACAGGCAGAGGTTGCCAGAGGCCCCAGCTAGGAGGACCTACCCAGTGAGGAGGAATGGATCAGGGTCTCATTTAAAAAAGTAGTCTGGCCATGCCTTGACAAAACAGCCATGCCATGCTGGGGAACTGCCTCTGACCAAGTCATTTTGGACTCTCCAAAGCCTGCAGACTGGAATGATGGAGTCATCCAAACAGCAAAGTCACAGGCTGCCCCTTCCCCAGGGTACTCTATCCCAAGAAGAGATCAGAGCTCTGTCCATAGAATACAGGAGTGGGGGAGGGTGTGGCTGGAGGCCCCAGCAGGGAGGTCCCACCCAGAGGAGGGATGAATTGGGATTCCACTTAAAGTAGCAGTCTAGCCATGTTTTGGTAAAGCAGCTGTGCTGTGCAGAGGTGGTGGGGGGGGGGGTCCCTTCCTTGTCTAAACTGTTTGGACTCACCAAAGCCCAGAGACTGGAACGACTGAGTCATCCAAACAACAAAGCTGGTGGCCTGCCTCTCCTCTGGCTCTCCATCCCAGGGAGAGTTCAGAGCTCTGTCTGTAGAATACAGGCAGGCAGGGTTGGCTGGAGGCCCTGTCTAGGAGGCGCATCACAGTGAGGAATGGATCAGGGTCCTGCTTAAAGGAGCAGTCTGTCGACATTTTGGTAAAGAGGCTGTGCTACACTGGGGAGTTCCTTCCTTGTCAGGATCATTTGGACTCTCCAAAGCTTGCAGACTGGAATGGCTGAGTCGTGCAAACAGCAAAGACGGTGGCCCACCCCTCCCCTTGGGGGCTCTGTCCCATCTCAGGTCTCAGGCATGATCTACCCTGTTGCCAGTGGCTGGCTTTAATTTCAAGATAATGGGTCTTATCTTGTGTGATGCCATGGAAATGGGGCCTGCAGACCAATCCTGCCCAGGCCCTGGATTCAGCCCCCTTCCTAGGAGTACGTACAGGTGATACAAGACCTAGAAATTATTTAGGCAGATAGCAAGGGTAAGAGAGTCCTCAGCAAGGTTTCTTTTTAATAAAAACAGCCCCCAAATCATTTCTTTTCTAACAAGAAGCTGCCTGAAAAATCAGGCTGCAAGCATGGATAAGCAAGCCAAAATCTTGCATAGGTAAATGCTAGCAGCTGTGGCAATAGAAAAGGGATACCTGGAAGCCAGGTGTATTCAATATGGAGGTTTTCTCTTCTGTTTTCTTTGTTGCTGTGTGTGCAGTAAAAAAGCAGGCAACATGACACCAGCCAGGTAGAGACCCCCTCTGCATAATAAAAGATTGGGGTGAAATGGACAGCTTCTTCACGTGCGATGCAAATGGTACACCTGGCCTGACCAATTTCTTGTACCCTATGTAAATCAGACACTGCCTCCTCAAGCTCAACTATAAAACCCTGTGCATTTCACCACGGAACCAGAAGACCCACTCGAAAACTCCTCTCTGTCTGCAGGAGCGAGAGCTTTTCTCTTTTCTCTTTCTTTCGCCTATGAAACTTCTGCTCTTATACTCACTCCCTGTGTTTTTCCACATCCTTCATTTCCTTGGCATGAGGGAAGTAACCTCGAGTATTACCCCAAACAAATGACTCCGCTTCACACACCTCCTGCCTTGCCTGAGTTGCAGTCACCTTTGTCGGAACCCTAGGGCCAGAGTATGTGCATGCCTGATTAGCTGCTCTGCTGAGACTCCTCCCAGCTTTGTGTGTCGGACCCAAGGCCCTGGTGGAATGGCACATGAGGTGATCTCCTGATCTGAGGGTTGCAAAGATCCATGAGAGAAGTGTGGTTTTCCAGGGTTGCACATTCACTCACCGCTTCTCTTGACAGGAGGTAGGGGTTCACTTGACTCCATGTTGCTCCCAGGTAGGCCATTATCCTGCCCTGCTTTTCATCATTCTCCATGGGTTGAGTTGTTTACCCTATCAGTCCCGATAAGAGTACCTGGATATTTCAGTTGAAGATGCTGTATTTTCTTGGCCCTTTCTTTCCCCTCCATGAGTGCCATGCACTGTAGCTGCTTCTAATCAGTCATCTTGGTCCCCCCGCCACATCTTTCTTAGCATATAATTTTGCCATTATTGTAATTAAAGCAGATATTTATTGAGTACCAGTGATGAGCAGCATGTTGTGATTAAACTTTGTCATAAACAACAGAACATTTGGAAAATTATAAATAGTATTTTCTACTCAATATACAAATATAAATATAAGTGCTCAAAGTGTTACTGGTGATAATATGAAGACTAATGTAACTTTTGCAAATAAGAATGTCATATCCCAATATGAAGAAATTATTACATTTGGAATTCTAGTTAAATTATTTCTAATAGTAATGAATTAATGGTCAGAGAAGTGTAAATTCCTATATCCTTTCCCCACTGTGTTATTTATTCCTCATTATCTCATCTTGCTCTTGGCCTGGGTCTTGCTCTTACTCTCACCCACTCTAAACATGTAAAGATGACCTATTTCTTTCATTTTATATAATGTATATAAAACCATCAAAATAAGTTTTTGAAGGATGTAGACATTAAACAGAATAACCAGAAAATTATCATCCTTTTATTTTTCTACCTTGGATTAAGTATTAAGACATTATGCAAAAAATTACAATAAACTTTCCAAATTGGGTTCAGTGAGGGCTTAAAGATGTTAAGACAATTACGAATAATTGCTAACTTGTTGTATTAGTCCATTTTGTGTTGCTATAAAGGAATACCTGAGGCTGGGTAATATATGAAGGAAAAGAGTTTAATTGGCTCATGGTTCTGCAGGCTATACAGGAAGCATGGTGCTGATATCTGCTTGGCTTCTGGTGAGGCCTCAGGGAGCTTTCACTCATAGAAGAAGGTGAAGCAGGAGCAGCACGCCACATGATGAGAAATGGAGCAAGATACAGAAGGAGGAAGTCCCAGAATCTTTACAACAACCAGATATTTTGTGAAGTAGCTGAGCGAGAACTCACTTACCATTAGGAGGATGGTGCTAAAGCATTCATGAGACATTTGCCTTATGATCCAATAGTCTCCTACCAGGCCCCATATCCAACACTGGGGTTCACATTTCCACATGAGATTTGTAGAGAACAAACATCCAAACCATATTTTTATCAAGAAAGAAAGTAATTTTAGTCTTGACCCTTGTTAGAATTTTACCTGGCAAAATCTCATTTAAGGAAATATGTTTCTTGTTTGTCCCCACAACTAATTGAGTTGATTGGTTACCATTGATAGTTAATTGCTAAATAACAAATCTCAGTAAGTTGTCTTAAATTTCATGGGGATTTTCAGTAGATACTGCCTTTGATGATACTCTCACATTAACATCTGAGGATTACTTTTGATTATGTTCATCAAGTTAATGGTACTCTTCTGGGGGAAGATTTGTGAAAGGATGCTTTAGAATGTTGTGATTACACACACACACACACACACACACATATATATATACACACACATATATGTATATATATTTATATATATATATTCCTCCTTAAAAATAAAAAAATAGAATGGGTATTTTAAATAAAAACTTTACAAATAATAGTCCAGCAGCATCCATTTGACAAACTGTATTTTAAAAACTTCATCTCTCAAGTGGCTATTATGGGTCAGGCACTGTGTTAGGCAATAAAGATTTAGAAGTGTAAACTTTGGCCCTCACTTTGAGAAGCTATAGCTTTACAAGAAATGTTGCATCAAGTATGTATATTGCAAATGCATGGATATGCATGGTGCATGTATATTAGCTTAAAATGTACAATTATTGCTTATCATAGATCAATACAAGTTTGAAAGCCCCAACTTTCATGGTAGCAGCAAGAATTTATTACTTTAATAATTGGTACTAATTCCACAATGCCAAACTAGGGAAGTCAACTATTTAATATAAAACACCACTGAGAGCACTTTAAGATTCTCTATCGTTTAGTCCCTTGGTAAAAGATCACTATGCCTGAAAACCAATGTGTTTTCAAAAGAAATACATGTTGCCTGTGTAATTTCATATACATACCTGAAAAGACATTTATAATGAAAAAAAACCTGATTCAATCCTCTAGCAGATACTAGCAATTTTTAAAAATGAAAAAAGTATTATCCTAAAGAAACCCCACGATCCACTACTTTATAGGTTTATTTTCTATATCTAAGAAATAAATCTATTAATGTTAATTGAAGAATATCAGCTTAAGCCTACCCCATACATTTATATATACAGAATTTGGGGAAGGGTGAGGCTTTTGTGATCAGATGTTTACCTCTGCATTAATAATACTAACCACCCACTGAATTTCACATTTCTCACCTCTTTTTGCATTATATTGTAAATTCTGTAAGGATAGGGCCTGAGCCATTAATTTTTACCAAGATATCTCCAATGCATAGGGCAGTTCTTGGCATATGGTAGGCACTCAACATACTTATTGAATTGAATCACATCTTCATTGCTTCACAGTGACATCAAGTCTTTTTGAAGAAAAAAAAGAGATTGAAAGAATGAAAGGGGAGATGCAGAATCAATGGAGGTTTAGAAGAGAATAGCTAAATTTAAGTGCCGTGTAAAATTGTCCTTCTTTTTTGTTCAACAGGGTTCACAATCTAGCCCTAATAAGGACTCAGTTTCCCCCATGACTTTAAGAGGATGGGAAGGCTGTCAATGAGAAAGTCATAGTCTTGTACACTATAAGAGGCTGTGTTCAGAGTGTCAGTACTAAGCTAGTCTGTTTTCCAAATGGTTTGCTTTAGTCACTTTAGTTTAAGTTGTCCAAATTAAGTTGTAGTTGTCCTTACAGTCATTGTGTTTACAGAAATAGATCTGTGGTTTTGCTATTTTCAGCCTTGAACCCAGTATAGAATTGTACCCTTGGGCTCTCAGTGACTCAGAAGCCCTGTCCCTTTTTAAGTTCTGCAATAACAGATGAGAAATATTGGCTCAGAAGGTCCACCCTTCGTGAAAATAGCTCGAGGGTGCTGTGGCCTGCAAATCACTGACTGAATTGGCACCCTTGCCACAGGACTCACCAGAAGGGCATGTCTATTAACCCACATTAACTCCCAGAAAGTGTTGTATAAAGGCATTTGCTTTATAGCTTTAAAGCCTATTGAAAAGTTCTTCAGGTTGAACAGATTACCCAATATAAAATATATGGATCTGTAATATTCCAGTGTAATAACTTTTAAAGACTACTTTTTCCATGGCATAGAAATCTATTTGAAAACCCTAAATTTCTTCTTTATTTCAGAAATTTATGTTAAGTAGGGTACAAGTAAAGAAGCTTTCTTTTGTACCACTTATGCTGATTTTTGGAGAGGTTTTCTGGATAATTTCCAGTCATTTCTCTGGATCCATTCTTCAGAGTTCTTCACCACATGGTGTGCCCCATAAGGCTGACCTCTGGCCCACCCTATCTGCATTTCCCTGTCCACTAGTTTCCATTTGCTTTGACCAATTAGATATACTTTAGGTAGGAGAAGAGAGAATTCTGATTACTTATTCCTACTCTCCCTCCTTGACTGGCCGCTGTTGGGCAGTGGTTGTATTAGTTTAAAGTCACGGCTCCTGTTCTACAGCTCTTTCTAGGTCCTGTAACTGTCCCTTCCTTTTGTACTTTAATGACTAAGGTAGTGTGGTAGGCAAAATAATAGGTCCCCAAAAATGTCCTTGTTCGAATCCCTGCAAACTGTACATATATCTTACGTGGTAAAAGGGAGTTTGCAGGCATGGTTAAGGATCTGAAGACAAGATCATCTTGGATTATTTGGGTGGGTCCAATGTAATCTCAAGGGTCTTTGTAAGTAGGAGGCTTGAGGTCAGAGCCAGAGGAAAGATGAAGGAAAGGGACTGAGTGATGCAGTTGCTTGCTTTAAAGGTGAACATGAGCCACAAGCCAAGGAATTCAAGAGGACTCTAGAACATGGAAAAGTCAAGAAATTAATTCTCCCCTAGATCCTTCAGAAGGAATGCAGCCTTGCTCACATCTTGACTTCAGCCACTGAAATTTCTGACCTTCTGAAATTAATTATGATAATGAATTTTTGTTGTTCTAAGTCACTGAGTTCATTGAAATTTGTACAACGGATATAGGTAACTAGTTCAGTTGACAACTGCTAGACCTGTTGTACTAAACCATCCTATAATTGGTAGACTTTAACCTTGCCTAATCTTTGTAAGTAACCCTTCATTAATTTTTCTTCAATTACTCCTTGGAGTATACCATTTGTTTTCTGTCAGGACTCTAATTGTTAAATGCTTATACATTTTAATTCAGCAAAGCTCATGTTTTAGGGATATATTCTATGAAAATAGAGGAATATATATATATGCCTGTGACAAAAATATTTTTGTAATATTACTTATAGCAACAAAAACAGTTTTGTAATATTACTTACAGCAACAAAAATAAGAAATAATGCAAATTTTCAGAAATAAAGGATTGACTAAATAAATTATGACACAGTCCTGTGATATAATAATGGAAAGCCAGAAAATGTTATGTTAAATATACTCACACACACATATATAATAGTGTGGAAAAATGAGACTTCAAAGCAGATGTATGTCCATATCTATACTTCTATTCACCTGTCTAATCCGTGTGTTTAAATATATGTGGGGAAAAAACCCTCAGCTGTAAATACATATGGAGGAAAACAAAAATAGAAAGATAAATACTATTTTAGTGACTAACTCTTGCTAATGGATTAAGAACAATATTGTTATGTACATGTACATAGTTTTCAAATAGTCTATAGGATTTTTATTAGTAATTACAGAAAGGGGGATTTTGAGCAGTGATGGGACCTCCTTACATGTAGAGGAATGCTTTTTATACAGAGAAACCCTTTTCTGACTTCACTCACAGTTAGAATATGACTTATTCTATCTACAACTACTTGTGTGCAGCTCCATTAGAGTTATTTGTATTCTTTTCTGACTCCTCTATCATATTATGGGCATTTCAGGGCAAAGCATACCTGAAATTTACCTCTTCCTGCACTCACAGGGCCCTATATTAGGCCCATGGCATGAATTTACTGAAAACTTTATATTAAGCTGAATGTATAGATGCTTAATTAAAACCTATTTGATGAGGAACTTAATTCCACACCCATAAAACACACAAGTCTCAGAAAAAAAAAAACTGCGAGGCAAATTTATAGAGCATGGAGATAGAAGATAAACAACCTGATTTAAGATGCCAATTGATAGTGAATTATTTATAATATATTCTTGTCACAGCATTGTACATTTAATGTTTGTTTACAAAGAGGATTGGATGAATGTAAGTATTTAGCTAAGATAAACATTAGGATTAGGCCATTCAAAAGTCACATCAAGAACTGGAAGAGATAAAAGAAAATAGCATATTGAACTTTAGTGAAACTGGGAAGACCTTACAGACCAGGTAGAGTCTTTAATTAGAGACTGTTGAATCTGTTGAGCAGAGGACGACATTCTAGGAAAATTGTGCTTTTTTAGAGAAGTCTCAGGGTGGAAATAAGATAAATGAGCCAAGATACCTGTATGGAGATAAGACAGAGTTTAATAGAGTCAGAATGTTAGATGGTAATCAATCACATCAGGCCATAGCAAATAGCAGAGAAGTGATCGAATAAAAATCTGCTGGAGAAAAAGGGGCCAAATTCCCTTGTTTACGTAAGAAACTGAATATCATCAAGATAGGAATATTTGGAAATCCCCAGATGTTAAATGAAATTTCTATCCCCGGTCCAGTGACTTTTTTTTTTATGAGAAAAGAGAGTCCTCACAAATGATGATCAATATTTTTAAGCAAAGTAGATATGGTTCTTGTACCCTGTATTTTCTGAAACTTTATATCCTTACTGAGGAAAATTACTAGCATCCAGTAATTCTTTGGTATTAACTAAGTTTCTCCTTATAATAAAGTCTGAGATACACACCAATATTATCTCCATTTTTCAGGTGAGAAAACTAAGGCAGACAAAAGTTGACAGGGCTGATATTTGAACCTAGTTAATCTGGAGCAAGAGCCTCTGCTTTTCCAATTAGTTACACAAACCATAATTAGAGGAAACTATTTCTTTATTATCCAAAATGTGGCAAAAGAAAGTTACAACTGGATTTTGCAATTGGCTTATAATCTGTAACCTTAGAAAGAATCATAATAGTTAGGTCATTCCCCACCACTTTGCTTAAATAGTAGAAAGAATGAGCCTGCAGATCCTAGCCATGGAAACTTTTTGGTTGTCTACTGCCACATATCCCAAAGGACAAAGGCTAACTCTAGGTCTGGAGTTGTTTAGATGTTTCTTTGAAACAGCATTCTGAAAGCAGTATGGGTAATATTAAATATCAATTGGTCATTTCACATGAGAAGGAATAAAATAAATACAAAACCCATTGACTTCCCTCTGTTACTAGGTATTCTCAAATTCCTGTCTCATTGCAATAAAATGAGTCAAAGTGAGGCTTAGATCAAAGAAGGAAAGCATCCTGCAGTTTGGCAGATCCTAAAATATTAACAGAAAGATAAAGTATTCCAGAATTTTACTTCTAAATTCTGAAATACTGTGAGACACAGTGGAAAGAGCAATGCTTAGATGACCCCCTGATCTGTCATTAACTAGCTGTGTGACCTTTGGCAGTTCACTGAGCACTAGAAAACATAGCCGAGCTCTTGGTCTACGTCATTCCCCCATATTCTACACCTTTGACAAAGATTCATAGTGACAAAGCATAGAGATAGCAATTTTTGACATAATCCCTGAAGACCACATCATTTTGTTAACTTAATTTGACCTTCATTGCAGACAAAAATTTTTGCTACTAGTCAGAATAATATTGAGACTTAATGCAAGGAATGAAGGCCATATAAAGATATGAATTCAGCTAAAGTTCAGGGCATTGAGTTAGACAGCAGACAACATCTAAGTGAAAACTATATTTTTATAGGTTTGGAAGGTGAGAAATAGATGATTAAATTAGATGCAGGAAGATATGAGGGGCCAAGAGAATGGGGCCAAGGATGGTTAGGGCAGCTGTGTTGTGAAGATAATATTATATTCCTGGGAGAATTTCAAAAGAGTTCAAGAAAACATGACATTGTCTCTGGAGTAGGGCTAATCAACTTTGTATGTTTGTAAATTTTGAGGGTACAAATAACAGTTCTTTGGCCTTAAAAATAACTAATGTAATGTGTAAGTTTTTTTCCAATGAGACAGAAATTTCCCACATATAGTTTAAAAGACTTGCAATGCAAATATTTCCTAAAAATAAAAATAGAGTGATGTAGAGTCACTTAAAGGCTTATATGCCTAATGCTGGATTCTATTAGGGAAGCTAGTTTGATAGGATGAAGGGAGCATGACAGCAGTGCATGGAAGGCATCGGAAGTGAGGGAGAGAGCTTTTGACCATTTGTTGAGTGTCACTACATAGGTTAGCATTGGTATATCTAATTTATAGCTGCTAAAATGGAGACTTCTAGCTGGGCATGGTGGCATGCATCTGTAGTTCCAGCTATTCAGGAGGCTGAGGCAGGAGGAATGCTTTAGCTCAGAAGTTTGAGGCTTCAGTGAGCTATGACTGTGCCACTATACTTCAGACTGAGTGACAGAGGGACACCCCATCTCTAAACAAATAAACAAATACATAAATTATTTTTAATGGAGGATTCTAAAGTCTGAATTGACAATTGTCTAACAACTGGTAAATAGTAAAGCTGGGATCCCAACTTTGTCTGGCACTGGAATTAATGTTAACCACACCGAAATTCTTGAGGTAGAGAAGACTTGAATTTTTACTTACTTTATTACATGTCTGCCTTTCTTCTTCACTCTACAACCCACATGCCTCTCTTAATTTTTTTGAGGTGAAGAGTACCGCCATGCAAAACACAGTCACACAGCTCACAGATAAAGCTCACTGAGAGGGGATTTGGGGAAATGAGGCAGGAAAGAGAGGTCACAATCTCTAAGACAAACAGTCCCACCAGACTACTGAGATGCCACCATGGATTAGAATGCAGCATTTTTATTGTAAAAGTCCACATGTTAGGCAATTCCCTTTGTGAAAAGGTTTCCAAATACATAGACAGGGAGCAGCTTATAATAAGTATTAGATTATATATAATATATATTCATATTGCCAATACTATGCACACATTGGAAAGCTAGCTTTTTGTAGTGTCCCCATTACAGAACACATTTCAAGTTGACAATAATGTTTCTCACCATTGAAACTTGCCAACAACTCTCCCAAAGAGTCAACATTTAATATATTGACAATTCAAAACAAGAAAATAATTCGTTCTATTTACATTTGTTTGAGGTTATATACTGGAGCACTGATATATTAAAGGTTTGTAAAACTGGCAGCTAAATGTGTTTCAAGATTCATCCAGATGACTTGATGATGACTTTACATGGTTTTATACTGACAAAGCCACTCTCTCTTCTTTTCTATTCTTTTTAGGTTATCTGTAAAGTTATACTAGCTATGATTTAATTATGACAGAGTAATAATTTCCATAAAAATAATTAACAAAGGGTGCTATTTTAGAAAAATAAGGATTCAGGATGAGTACATGAAGATAGAGCTCAACTCATCATGTTTTAAGTCTGGAGAAATTGCTTTGTTTAACTACAATGTAATCTAATGAGGCCACAGTCATTGGCTCAACCTCTATGTGAGTCATTCATTTTTTTTTTTCAGTTTTTAAAAGCTAATCTTCAATACTTTTTCGCACAGAATGCTACATTCTGAACACTAGTCAGGTATGAATTTTGCTTATTCCTGTTATAAGTTCACAAACAAAATTGTGGATGGGCAAGGACTGACTCATCCCCAAACCTGGAAAAATAATACACAAACTCTAATTATGCCCTAGTAGAGTCATGTCTATACACAAACATAGGACATAAATATTGTTTTAAAAGGAGTATGGACTTTGCCTAAAATAATTTTTTGAAGATGAACATAAATAGCTAAAGTTCTTTGGATCCTACTGGTTATTTTTACAAAATCAAATATCACTTGACAACACCTATGTGAGAAGATGAGTCACTGGTTTCAGGCCAGCACAGAGATTTGCCAGAAGCATGTGAGGGCAATTCACTTCAAACCATATTTATTGAGCACCAACTATATGCCAGGCACTATGCAAGGTGCTACAGACCCAAAGAGGAAATGACAAGGATTCTGCCCACAAGGCACTCACAATCACTAGAAGCAGATCTTGAGATGGAGAATAAGTTCTGTTATGATCTATCATCCTAAAAGGAAGAAAAAAATAGCGGCAAGCACATACAATTACTTTATACTCTAGTTATGAAATTGGGCATATTTAGAGGTGGCAAATGTTGATTATCCAGTCTATATTTTACTTAAAGTGTTGTAATATGTCATACAAGGAAAAAATAAGCTGTTCGAATCTTCATGCATGAGGGAGAAGGCAATGAAAATTCCTCCCTCCATTTCCAAACCCAAATCCTTATAATTACATTCAGGAATCTTTTATAGCCCAAGGACACAAAATAAAAGACAATAGGATGATAACTTCAGTCCATTTATTTTGGATCTAAAGAGATGCATGCACTAAACTTGAAGCATTCTAAGTTATTGAAATATTTACATCATTGTACATGAATGTGGAGGAAATTTTCTTCCTATCTTGAGATAAAGGTGTAATAGATTTCTGGACTAGGCTTTCATATTTAAAGTGAGTTATGATTTTTCTTAAATGAGGGAGGTATTCTATTGGGATCAAATTTATCACAACTTGACCCGGAGTGAACATAGGGTACAGTTTTGGACCTTTTCTATCTAATTGCATTATGAATCTAGTAAGGATACCACTACTGTAAATAGTCAGGGCTTTCACTGTTTTATTTGCTGTAGCTGAAAAATATCTTATTTGGTTTGAATGTTCTTGCTCTAATTTTACTTTGCCTTGCAGGTTTGAAACACAGCAAACATCGAAGTTCAAAGTACACTAACCAAAGGAGGGCTGGGCACAAACAATATGACATTATAAAATTTACCAGGTTTGGACATAGAAACAGATTCAGATCATTATCAACCACATAGAGGATTATTTAAGTGGACTTAGAACAGACATCTCTCCATGAGACTCAGTGAATAAGAACCATATCAGTAAAACCCATACCTCCTCACAGGTAGAGGTAGGAGACCCAATAGACCAGATTAAACAGGCAGAAGGCAGTGGGGAAGAAGATCCGAGCATAGGAGTCCATTTTGGCAATGCGGATATGTATCCTCCCATGTCTCCAAGCTCCTGTTCGACAATCTTCAAAACAGCAGAAAAAACTGGCACAGTCCTTGCCGTCCAGACACTCATAGCCGTACTCTTCATCTCTCTCTTGAAGGTGTGTAGCATTATTCATTTGAATGGTTGCTGATCTTGGGCGGATATCAATGGTAGGGGCCTGGGACGAGGGTAGGGAAGGAGAGGGATCAGTTAGTTGTTCTCGAGAGATCCTAGGCTGTTTTTCCACAATGTCACCAATGTGATGATGAATCTGAAAATGGGTACTCAGGAAATTGCTATGACATCATGATCTACAATGGTAAAATTGAACTTAGAAAGATAGCACATTTGCAGATTTCAAATTTTGAGCTTAAGCAGTGCAGCTGAAAATAATATCATCAAGCTAATAGCTATAGCAAGGAGATTGAACACCAAAAGAACTCAAAGTTAAATATTTAAATCAAATTACATGGAATCTTATTCTAGTAAGTATTAGATGTGACATTGGTTACATGAAGGCATTTGATGGTGCTGCATGTGAGTGGAACAGAGAAATAAAAATGCATCAATTCTGAAATCAAATATTGTGTCATGCTTAGTTATAGGCAAATAGAAAACCCATTACTCTGAGCAAATGTATTAAATGTTAATAGAAAATGTTAAAATATATATAAATACAGAATTTTCCTGATTGTATACCACAATGGTATGGCTTATGTTTTAAAGGACTATGATTCTTTTTCTAATATTCACCATCTATAAGCTTAAGAATGTCAACAATGTTTACCTACATGTGAATGGAAATTGAGAAAAGAAGGTTACTACTTGTCAAATTTCCTGCTAGACCAGTTGGTAAATTTCTATGCAACTAAATGATATATTTAATGTTAATTTGGATGATTTCATTTTAGCATAATCTAAACAGAAATTCTAACGTCTCAGAATCAGCTATTATATTTGAATAGAAATCTCATTGCAACACATTATAGTAGAGCCAAAAGGCTCAGGGATCACTCTGGAAATAAGGAATGGATATTTTAACTCAAAGCCTTTCAAAAAGAATATTGTTCTTACAGAACTTACAGGTAGTGTTCAGAAAAACAGAAATCATTAAGTTTACAAACAGTAATGAACCAATACATTTTGAATTAAGATTTACAGAGTTAAATTTTAGTTTTAAAAGAGTACAAACTTGGTAGTCGTAATCAGTAAGACTCAATCCCATTTTCATCTGAAAAGAGGAAGCTCATTTTGGCTTTGATGGATAAAGCAGCCTTCTTTACCTATGACATCTCACAGGGATTATAGCTTTTGGGCTTGGTGTAAGATTAAAACCTATGTGAATTAGTGTATAGTTGCTGAATCAACTCTAGAAGTCTGTAGAACTTTCTCCAACATATTATCTCTAGTAGAATGCTTAAATGTCTACTCATAAAACAAAATAAAACACCATGTAAGCATTAATAGTTAAATTTAGCAGTTGCATGCAGTGAATTTCCATTCCAAAAACATTATACCTTGAAGGAAAACATCCGAAGAAGCTTTGGGTTTGTAGACAGAAAAGAGAATTGCATTTGTTTTTAATAAAAAGGAGAAAAAAAATGAAAAAAAAAGAGAGAGACAAGATAAATTAAAAATACATTTTGAAAACACAGTAAGTGAAATGAACTGAAATTATAAACACAGAAGGAGAGTTCTGAGCTTGGGATAAAGTATTTGCTTAAAGTTAAGTGTAATTTTGTAATTACTAGTGAAATTTTTAATAAATTAATCTACAATTACTTGACTGAAGAAGCCAGAGTTGTTCAATTGCAAGGAAGTTTTCTATTGCCTGGTTCCCCTGTTTAAAAATACTATGATTCTATTTTCTAATTATCATCACGGATAACTTAATAGGTGAGTCTTGACACAATTATCCAAAAGGCATATTAAACAGGAAAATAAACTTTCAGCTTCTCATTCCTAGTTTATTTTCTTGCTAGTTCTGATGAATCATCTAATTGCCTAAAAAGAAGTGCATGAAATTCTCAGGTAATTTCATTTTCTCAAATTTTTATCCTGTTCTCCTCTGCCTTTTCTTCTTCTGCCATTTCCATGACCCTGAATAAGGGAATCTGCCTCTATCTTTGCAACAAAATCTACTCTGCAATGGCGTAGCTGACAGAGAGGGCCAAGGGGCTTTTTCCAAAGGACTCATCAGAACTTGTTTGAAAGCCAGTCCTCATGTCCTTGTTATAGCTGGCAGGTAATATGCCAACTCTCAATAGAACCACCTTCTTGAGGGAGAGTGAAATGGAAAGTGAACAAGAGGGAGCAAACAAAAACAACACAACAAGGAAAATAAAACAAGGATAGAGAAAATGGAAAGTCAGAGAGAGGCAAAACAGACAGGGAAGGGAAGGACTGCATAAAGCATTGTAAATATTTGAGCAATTAAAGAAAGCATTTTTTAAATCAAGAATAATGATGTTTCTTTCTTTCCATGTTCCAAAGTCTTACATTCAAATAAACACATTACTCTTGTAGTATTTCACTTGGGTTTCTGCAGCTGCATCAGAATACAACCTAGAATCAGCTAAATTCCTTCCTTACAATTCAACCTCCAAAGTCTCTGGGTTGGATAGGTAGAGCGTTATTACGGCTCTCAAAGCAGAAGGCCATGATCCAGGATTGTCAGGTGATTCTCTTTGCCCATATCTTGGAAGGGAATGGACCTTAACTTTCATGGGGATTTCTATGAGCCAGCCACTTTGTTCAGGTGTGTAAATGGGTAACTATGTGCTCTCCTCAACACTCACAATAAAAAACAGTTGCTTTAGGCATTTGTGTTTATGCTTCATCCTCACTATTTAAAGTTTGGTTGCAAGTAGAAGTCATCCTCCCTGTTTTCAAATTGTGGCACTGAAGTCAATCCAGGCTGGAAACTGTATAAATCATCAAAATCAACTATCATCACCAACTACTAATGTTAAGTACATTCATGTGTAGAGTACTATGTAATATTTTGGGATTTTTTGTTTTGCCCTTCATTGCCACATTTATTTCTCATAGGAGCCCCATAAGACAAGTGTTTTTAAATAATACACTACATATATATATATAAAACACACAAGGAGGCTAACTAACTTGCCCATATAATAGTAAATCATTTGTTTTAAAAACAAAAAGATACATTTCGAGAATGAAATCAATAGAAATTATCTGGTGACAATACCCACATTCCACCTCCATACACACACTAAATCATTTGCAAAAATGTAGTCAGCCTTGAAACTTCAAGGACCTTATAGCTTCCTAGTGGAATGCCTGAGATGGAAGTTTTAATTTAAAATATCAGTGATTTAATAATATTATCATGGCCAGGCGCAGTGGCTCACGCATCTAATCCCAGCACTTTGGGAGGCCGAGACAGGTGGATCACCTGAGGTCAGGAGTTCGAGACCAGCCTGACCAATATGGTGAAACCCCGTCTGTACTAAAAATACAAAAATTAACCAGGCATGGTGGCGTGTGCCTATAGTCCCAGCTACTCAGGGGGCTGAGGCAGGAGAATTGCTTGAACCTAGGAGGCAGAGGTTGCAGTAAGCCGAGATCCCGCCACTGCACTCCAGCCTGAGCAACAGAGTGACACTCCATCTCAAAAAATCAGTGAAACCTGGAATAATAGCAACAAGAAGAAGGTCACATTTCTCAAAAATGGCTTTAGTCTCCACAAAATAAAGAGAGCAGGTAATTATATTTGCATAAGAACTCTGACACAGAAAATAGAAACAGACTTGAGTCTCTCTCAAGTAACTAATGACTGTAAATGAATCGTTATGGCCTGGCTAAACTCATACATGCTGTTTTCATCTTGGAGCCCAAACTGCTGAGCCTTAGCCTGCAGATAGGCTAATGAAAACAAACTAAACCGAAATCATAAAAATTTCAATGGTGCCAATGGAAAATGATACATACAGGGTTTTTCTTCTTTTTATCTTTGTCCTTGCTTGGTTTCCGGTTGCTGACAAAATAATGCAAGGTGCCATACTCCACCAGAGCAGAGAAGACAAAGATGAAACAAACAGATACAAAGAGATCCATCGCTGTGACATAGGAGACCTTGGGGAGCGATTTCCGGGCAATGGTGCTGAGGGTGGTCATTGTCAGGACAGTGGTGATACCTGAAGAGAGGTGTAATAATACAGGTCATGTGATTGCATAAGCAAGTTGGGTAACTGAGTCACTCGTGAGACTACATTGTTTCATGACTTCTGATGGGCAGTTTCAGCAATGGGAAAGGAGGTATAAGTGGATTTAATTCACTCTATTTACAAATATTTATTGCCTGTCTACTATGTATCAGTTGAAATGACAAACACTGATGAATAGATTTGGTCTGGCCTTTGTGTACCTTATATTTTAGTGAGAGAGATATACTGTGAATCATGTCAGCAGAGAAAAGTATAATGTTACATTATGGTATGTGCCATGGAGAATACAGGGATGGTGAGAAGCTAGTTAGATGGAATGCTCAGAGAAGACCTTTTTGAGGGGTTGATGTTTAAAGTAAAGCTTAAAATGTAAGAAGAAACTAACCTTTTGATCATTATTAAATTAAGGGAGGGTTCTGAGAAAGAGAAACCTTGTCTGTTATTTAAATTTTTAGAAGACCTGGCACCTGGGAAGGGACAAGGGGATTAAAATTATTTTGATAAAAAGGAAGTTATAAAATGTGGCACATGCAGACAGTTTACATTTTATTCCAATTGCAGGGAGAAATTATTCAAAGATGCTAAATAGAGGAGGTGGGTTATGTGTAAGTGACATGCTCTGATTGATGGATTCTTTTTAGATTATTATAGGATTAAAATAAGTATCTCAGAAGTAACATAATAGGTAATATTTACTGAAAACTTCCTTCTGCCAAGGGCAGTGATAAGCGCTTCATATACATTGTTTCTTTGAATCTTCACAGCAGGTATTTTCATTCTGAATTTATAGATCAGAAGAACAAGGCTAAAGGACCAGTACCACATCCAATAGTTGGTAAGTAGCAGACAGAATTGAACACAGAAATTACATGAGTGATTTCAAAGCTCATACTTTACTAATTATACAAAAGCACCTATCCAAACCTGTCCTCTCCAGTGGTTGTTTAGTGACAGGGAACAATGTCAAGACAACCTATATTTATCAACCAGAGAAGGATGAGGAGCTCTCTTATGTAAAAGTTGTGTAATTTATACTAAAGGCAAAATGGATTCAGTATTCAAATAGGTTCTAGCTCTTGCTATAGGAACTTAAGTTATCTTAACACTCTAGGCCTCAGTTTTCTCATCTGTGGGACTAACTCTTTGAAGGTCCACCTATCTTACCATTCTACGATTCTAGTTTGGCATTTCTAATCCTGAGTGGAGGCATCTTTCTGTACTCTAAAAGCAATAATCCCAACTTTTACCAGGTTTTGTTATTTATATTTCTTACGGGGGACAGAAAAGAAAAATAAAGTTTGCATCATTTAAAGATGTGCAATTCTGACTATTACTGCTAACCAAGAGACTTCTAGGGGACAGCCAGATTCTCCTCTGTCAAAAGGAAGTGCTAGGGAAACTTCGAAACAGGTCGGGCCAGGCATGGTGGCTCACACCTGAAATCCCAGTACTCTGGGAGGCCGAGGTGGGTGGATCAGGAGGTCAGGAATTTGAGACCAGCCTGACCAACATAGTGAAACCTTGTCTCTACTAAAAATACAAAAAGTTAGCTGGGCTTGGTGGTGGGTGCCTGTAATCCCAGCTACTCGAGGGGCTGAGGCAGGAGAATCACTTGAACACGGGAGGCGGGGGTTGCAATGAGCTGAAATCGTGGCATTGCACTCCGGCCTGGGTGACAAGAGTAAAAACTCTGTCAAAAAGAAAGACAGACAGACAGAAAGAGAGACAGAGGAAGGAAGGAGGGAAGGAAAGGAAGGAAGGAAGGAAGGAAAAAGAAAGAAAGAAAGGAGAAAGAAAAAGAAAAAAGAAAGAATGAAAGAAAGAAATAAAGAGAAAGAAAGAAGAAAGAAAGAGAAAGAAAGAAGGAAGAAAGAAAGAAAGAGAAAGAAAGAGGTAGAGAGACTTGGAGGGCAAGAGAAGAGGAAGATACTGAGAAAAGCACCAGTGTCATACAGGAAAAGATGTAAAGCTCTTATTCTCTCATAAGTAGGTAACTGGTAGAACATGCTTAGAAGAAAATTGAGAAAAGCAAAAACACTCTTGAATAAAGGATAAGTAAGAGGAAATAAAATTACTGTTGTCTCCCTAATCAGTTCAAGTCTTTGTCTGAGCCATTTTTGAAGAGTTCAGCTACATTTCCAAGAACCATGTGGTTCTCTTGGGTCATTTAGTTGTAGCTTAGTATGAAAGTTTCCTAAATACGTACTTGTTATGCAATTTCAGACAGTGGAAAGACTGATGTTGGTTTAAATAGCTATAGAGGAAGGGTAGCCTTTAATACAGGAAAGAGATGATCAAGGGAACTATGTTTATAAATACCATTGGCCCTTTCCTATACTATTCCTGATTATGTAATAACCAATCTCCCTTTCTAATCTATACACTCTATGAAAACAGAATCTGTCTAAATGACTACTATAATCCCACAGTGGAGCATCATGCTGGGACTCAATAAATGTTTGTTCAATGAATGTGTGAAACAGTGAGCCAATGCATAGTATATACATGAAAGATCAAAGATGCTCAATCTATGTTTGAGAATAGGAATCCATAATTATGACTTTTGGGAGATATTTTTAATTGCAAATAAAGTAGTTAAGATTTATTGATCTTTTTCTTTGACCAGATACTGTGCCAAGCACTTTCTATTATCTCACAAGATCCTCATAATGCTTCTATAATGTAAGTATTATTATTACTATTATTATTATTTTTACAGGTGACAAACAGTGAGCATTGGAGGAATAAAAACTTGTTCAAGATAGTAAGTGGTAGAGATGAGATACAAACCTAGGCAGCCCGACTTCAAATGCTGTGCTCTGAACCACAGTATTTTAGCTCCATAAATACATGAAAAATATGTGGCATGAAGTGCCAGACAGATGGGACCTATTGTAGATTCCTGACTGGGGAGGTGATATGGGTCTGGCGTCTTCCATATTATCATGGTAGAACCTTAGGGAGGTTTGAGATCCTCATCTACAAACTGGGAGTGGTGGTGGTAATGATGGAGAACCTTATAAGTCTCCAGTAAAGATTAAATTTAAAAATGTGCATAGGGTACCAATACCTTGTAAAATCCTAATAAATATTAGGTATTGATAGTTTTTATTTTAGAAAAGAAAGTTCTATTTCTTAACTAAAAATCATTTTATTAGGTTGTCTATGCATTAATTCATGTAAGTTTCTCATTGTACCTAATCACAACTGATATTTTTGCAGAGGACTGAAAAACTAAATTGGCACTGTGGCCTTCATTTTACAATCAGGCCTGAGGCTATACTTGACCCTCGACAAGTGAAAATGTCAGTATTTATGGTAGGTACTGTAGATGAGTTAATTTTTTTAAAATGTGGCATGTGATAATTTGGGAGAAACAAATTTTGACATGCAAGTTAAATACTGTTCCAGCAAATTGGGAAAATGTTATTTAGGCTACATAGGCATTCATCAAAGCCATGTAGAAGTAGACTCTTGAAGAATTGCCTCATGATATTTTCAGGGCTCTGCCTGGAGCCACAGGAAAGAGACTGCAATGACATCAATAGTGAGAGGCAGAGTAGGGATGGTTTATATTGTCTCCTCAACCAACAATAAGACAGCTTCCATTTTGATAAGTAAATAAGTTAGACTTATCTTACCTGGGTGGATGAAATATATCCATAGCTTTTACCAGTTCCTCCAGTCTTGGCATGAAGTAAGCTCTTCAGGGATGTTACCTCACCTCAAAGCAGTTAGGTGACAAGTACCAAATGGTATTTTCATTTCATTCATTGTCACTACACCAGAAATAAGCCTCACCAACTACCACCTGGGCACCAAACTACATTCACTTTTATATGCTCCAAGATGGTGGCTGCCCATACTCTAGGACTCTGTGCTCAGAAAACAGCCAGTATCTCTGAGTCAACGTGGATAAATTTATCTTGCTCATCAAACAAGATGGCCTAACTGTTCCGTGGCAAGAAGCTTAAGGTCTGCGTGTGCTTAAGGTCCTCTCATTTAACTCTGGATTGTAAACATTGAGAAAAGTAATGGGACTCAATGAAGTCTAGAGCAGGGTTCTAAAAGGCGACTGCACGTTTGAATCACCTGTGGATTTTTTGTTTGTTTGTTTTTCAATCCTAACTCCTAAGTCACGTTCTAGACACATTAGATAAGCATTTCCTGGGGTTGAACTAAGGAATCTGCACTTCAAAAAGTCCTCTAGTGACTTAAATGTTCAATTAAATTTAAGGAGCACTGATCTAGAAAACTGAGACAGCAAAGTTAAAATAGAGAAACTGGCTCAGCTCCGCTTCTCACCTGTACCTACAATTGGTCTTCACCAAGGCCTCCTACCCAGAGCAAACCTATGTCTCATCAGCTGAGGTGCAGATCTACTACCTCCTTATGCTGTGACTTTGTGGATGTCATCTAACCTTGCAGCACCTCTACTTCCTTAGCTCAGCTCTAAAAATTGTGATAATAATGATCATTACAGCAACTTCTACATGCAGGTGTTGTGAAGAATAGAAAAGACATAGAGACCATATTGAGCATTCCTGACTTACAAATTACAAACAAGTAGAAGCACCTATCTGCTATTTGCTTAAGGGCCTCTTGCTCATTCCAAAACTCACTCACTTTGATCCCTTCTTCCACCATGATCCTTTGCCAGTGAACACTTATTTACTGAGTGGGTTAAATGAGTTACCCAAGAAGTCATGAGAGAGATTTTGGCCAGCAAGAATCCAGGCTTCAAGAGGACAGATTGATTGGAAATCTCTTCCTTAAAATGTTTTTGGGAAGAGGGTGGATTAGAATACATCAATGTATTTGCTCCAGCCATACATAAGTGTATACATCAATTGAACAATTATTTGAGGTACCAGCCATGTTCCAGGCACTGTACTAGAGATGTACAAGACTGACATTCTGATGACAGACATAGAAGCTTGTAATACAGTATGTATCTGTTCATAGTGACAAGTAATAGTCCGAAAGTAATAGGCTCAACATATTTGGGGTTTGTTTCAGCGTGTAGCATTAGACAAGATATTTTAATTTTTGAGAAGGACTTGTAACACAAAGTACCACATATAACAGGAAAAATCAAAATAACTTTCTTTTGAAACAGATGGGAAACTAAATTAGGTTTGGAAGAGGACAGATATGCAAATGATGTCTTTTCCCCCAGTAATCACTTCTGCCCTCAGCTTAATAACTTAGTACAGACCATTTTGTCAGAAAATGACTATAGTAGCCAACATTTCTGAGGCTTTACTATTTATGTGCAATTTGCATCGAATACTTTAACCCTAGTAGAACCCAATAAGTTAGGTACAGGAAATTATACATGTTTTATATATGAGGAAACTGTGAATTAGAGATTAAATGACATTCTAATGTTATCCTAAATGTGTGATGTCAAACCCATATTTGTGGGACTCCAAAACCCAATTTCCTAGCTATTACACCCTACTGACTCTTTAGACAGTTAGCAAGGGATGTGGTTCTAGGTTTTACATAGCTGATGAAAGGGTGTTGAATTTTGTTCACGTCCACTAGCTTTATTTTTAGTTAAGGTTTTAAAAAGTTTCATGTGTTGGGCTTTGTTTTAGTCTGTGTGAGTCTTCTTCCCCATGTGAAGAAACAGATGTGAAAATTCAAGACAAAGATCACCATATATATTAGATTGAGCAAATTGCAAATAATCTTAAGAGTCGCTTTTCCCCCAAAAATTTCACAGGTAAATATGTTTTCTCAAAAATAATTTTTTCCATCGCTGTTCTGTAAAGAGCCGATTACTTCAAATGTTATCCCAATAATTACTCGTGGGGAATAGCCAACAGCCAATGGCGTGCTGGTGAATGTGTAACAATTAACTCTAGAAAAAAGAAGGCCCTGACTTTTGTTTCCATGTTGTTAATATTTCCTCCTTGGGTGATTTCACATTAACAATGTGGCATCACCGAATACCAAGTTGGGAAGAGATAAACACAATCAACTTTCATGAGCTGGTGCAAGCAGCTTCAGCATATTATCCAGAGAACTAAACAAACACATCTGTTAATATTAAAACAGTTTTTAAAAAATAGTTAACTAAAATTTCTTAAGAAAAGTTACTCAAGAAAACCTATCAAGGTAACTAAGGAGAACCCAACTATAGAAGTAAAAAAATCTTTTTTTTTTTTTTATTATGCTTTAAGTTTTAGGGTACATGTGCACAACGTGCAGGTTTGTTACATATGTATACATGTGCCATGCTGGTGTGCTGCACCCATTAACTCGTCATTTAACATTAGGTATATCTCCTAATGCTTTTCCTCCCCAATCCCTCCACCCCACAACAGGCCCCGGTGTGTGATGTTCCCCTTCCTATGTGCATGTGTTCTCATTGTTCAATTCCCACCTATGAGTGAGAACATGCAGTGTTTGGTTTTTTGTCCTTGCGATAGTTTGCTGAGAATGATGGTTTCCAGCTTCATCCATGTCCCTACAAAGGACATGAACTCATCATTTTTTATGGCTGCATAGTATTCCATGGTGTATATGTGCCACATTTTCTTAATCCAGTCTATCATTGATGGACATTTGGGTTGGTTCCAAGTCTTTGCTATTGTGAATTAAAAATGCCAGTTCTCTTGAATATGAAACAAATGGTATTTCTATGCAATTGCAGGCTAAATTTAAAGCAGATCAACATAGAAATGGACATAAAAATTACTTGTATTTGGTACTTATCTTGAGAAACTGCAACATAAACAAAGGTGTCTCACCTAAAGATGTTCTGGCTGGAACAGCATCCTTATTGATCCAGAAAGACACCCAGGATAGGACGACAATGAGTGTGCAGGGGATATAGGTCTGGATGGTAAAGTATCCCATTCTTCTGCTCAGATCAAAGTAGACAGACATGACCACATAATCTCCTGGAACAGACCAAAGATAACACCATACAACCCTTTATCAATCACTGGAAAACATTAAAACTAAGCATGTATTTAATGGTTATGCACACACATTTAAATTAAGAGTTTTCTACAAGTGGTATGTTGAAAACTATTTTTGCCCGCTTGGGTTAAAAAACAAAAATGAAACACAACCTGAACTGAATCCCAACTCTTTTAGAGCAATTTGTCTACTAGATGGAAGGAAACATTTTTAGCATACTGATCATATTTTCTTCTTTCTGTGCTTTCTGACGTCCTTTCTTCCTACTTCACAAACATTATAAAAATGTTTGGTGAGGAGGGTAGGGAACAGTATTTCTACATTGTGCGTATCTTGTCTGCAATTCATTCTAGGTTTTGTAACAATTTCCTCTCATTTCTTAGGACAAAATCTTTATAAAAAACATACAAGGATATCCTGGTGCTTGACACTAATAAATGAATATTTTACTCAGAATTTATAACTAAATTCCTATGATGAGACATTTTTTCACATGTTCATTGAATCACATGGTTTTCCTTTATGGCAGTTACTTTACATTTTAAGTGTATATTCATTTGTGTGGTGATTTTTGCAGTATCTTTCCCCCTACTGGACTTTATCTGCATGAGTCTACAAACAGTTCCCATTTAAGCTCACCATTGCAAACTAGTAGTTAGCATTCTGCATGACTCAAAACAGGCATTCAGTAACATTTGTCAAGTAATCGTGCAAATGAATTAATGCCTTTGTAAATCGTACACATAAAATTCTCTAAAAATCAAGAAGATATATTATGGAACATTTGAATTAAAAAGCAAAATTTGGCTGGGTGCGGTGGCTCACGCCTGTAATCCCAGCACTTTGGGAGGCCGAGGAGGGCGGATCATGAGGTCAGGAAATCGAGACCATCCTGGCTAACACGGTGAAACCCCGTCTCTACTAAAAAATACAAAAAATTAGCCTGGTGGTGTGGCGGGCGCCTGTAGTCCCAGCTACTCGGGAGGCTTAGGCAGGAGAATGGCGTGAACCCGGGAGGCGGAGCTTGCAGTGAGCCGAGATGGCGCCACTGCACTACAGCCTGGGCAACACAGTGAGACTCCTTCTAAAAAAAGAAAAGAAACAAACAAAAAAAAGAAGCAAAATGTATGTAAATAATCCAGAGAATATATTAAGAAACACTACTAAAAGAATAAAGGAATAACCATGTAGCGATGCATGAGAACAATTTATTGTGACACAATTTGAAGTCTCTTTTTAAAGTCATGATGCATAAGTTGCTCTTAAAATTTCACGTCATTCATTTTGAATCATCCCAAGTAAAATTTTAAAGCATTTTAGTTTTTAAAATCAGAAAATATATTAGAGAAACACATCTCAGTTACTACATCTTTTTAAAATATTCTTAGAGAATATCAGTTTCAAATATTGTATCTGCACTCACAATGTGAGATGAATAAATGAGATAGCTTTTCAAATGTTGCTTCTTTTTTCTTTGCTAAATTATATTTTGCTGTAAAATACATAGATAATTAAATTCAAATCATATCTTTTAGCTTGATTAGTTGGCTTTGTGCCTACGTTTCCCTACTTACTTGGCTGATTTGATCTGATTTGAAAATAAGGTGCCCTACAAGCCTCATGCAGAGAAGATTGAATTAGCGGGGTGAGTTATTACTACTCAGTCTAGTTTTTCTTTCCCACTCTCAAGCTTCACCCCATACCCCTCAAAGCTGCTGAAATAGAAAGGCCTTTATTGGCTGCTCTTTGAGGGAGTAGACTGTCCCCTAACCTTGCAATATTTCCTAAGTGGGGTTTTGAATGCCTCTTAACACTGCCTTTTGTTAGATTGGCATACAGTTACTTGTTTAAGTCAGACCTGGCTGAGGTAGTGATCATGACCTAGCACTGATCAGGGAATTAGGCTTCCAATGGGACATCAGTTTCCTCCCAGAGATCAATAAGTAGCAATTATCTAGCAACTGTGCCTAAAGACTTGAAGATAGAAATTTTTTATCAATGATAATAGATTTTATCTAATTCCCACAGCATATGCTTCTCTGTGTTAATTTATTGAACATAAGCTATTTAAAGCCATAGCATTTCATAAATTAGTTTGGTCCCTGCTTTTGTCCTAATTTAGAATATAACAGGCACAGGCTATGACTGAAGAGTAAAAAGATTTAATTTGAGATGACCTCTATTAACATCCATCTTTTTCTTTCTCATTTCTTTGATCAGAATACTAAAGGCAAATGCATCCTCTCTTATTCCAGATAGGAAAAGCAAAGTAATAAAGGAAGGTTTTTCATTTAAATAATAATATTCAGGGGTACCTTTTCTCCTATTTTCCCAGTCCTTGAGCTTTCTGCACATTTTAAATGTGTTTAAATAAAAAATTACGAATTATCATGTTTTAAATAAAGCTAGACAATTTTAGTAACTTCTTTTTACCTTATCATGTAAGTGAATGAAGATCTGCACTTTGGTATTAATGATCTGGCACTTTTAAAGGTGAACTTTAATTTTGTCCAAAGTTAACAAGATAATTACCTCAATGCAATTATCCACTTCCCTTTAGGTCAGAGTCTAAACTTCCATGGTCCACTTATCTACCAATTTCTATTATAAGGTAATGGCTTCTGAGCATCTCTCATCTTTGCCAGCAAGTCTACAGCTTTTCTACCAGTGGATTATGGATTCAAATTTGAGAACAAGCCATTAAAAGCAAAGCAGCTTCACAGTGACAGCCTGACACCTGTCATATCTCCAAGGCCACGTCGCTTTTTGTATTCCTGAAAACTCTTGGGCTAAAGAGCCTATAAAATCAAATCCCCTTAAAGTGCGGCATCAGTGGATTTCCCAAGCCCAAAAGGTTTAAATGCCAAGCAAGTCAAAGGTGGTTACTTCTGCCACTTCAGATTTATTCCTCCTATTGATTTATCCTAACATATGACATTAAAGTTACAGTATTTTATGTATGAGTTTAATTCCTGCTTTGGTCTTAATTTAGAGTTTATAGATGAAGGCTATGATTGAAGAGCGGAGACATATAATTTGAAACAACATCCATTAATGTTTATCTTTTTTGTGTGTGAGATTCTTATGTCTACTTTTAGGAAAAGACTATCAATGGCAGGTTTTTTTTTTTAAGTTGTAGTGGTAAATAACCATACGATAGTTTTAAAATTTAATATTTAGTGGAGCGTTTAGGTTCTCATTTTCCACATGAAACTATCTCATCTTAAAAACTTGAAGATTCCATGGTAAAGAAGTCTTTCCCTCTATTGAACCCCTGAAATAATAGAAAATAATTTTCAAGTTACCAGTCATGAAAGCCTACTATGTGTAGACACTGGGCTGAATGGTTTGCATATATTATCTGTAAATATCCTAAATGCTTTATCAGGATGGTGAAAAAATGAAGTATCAAATATATCTTCAGTTTGTGCCTCTCTCGTCACTCTTATTCAACTAAAAGATAGTTGAATAAAGTGTATCTTATTCTACTAGGTTAACTTTGAAGGCATAAATAGTGTTGTACTCTTCTTTACATTCCTTTTTCTAGCTCCTTTTTTAAGTCCACAGATATTTTGAATCACTGCTATGCATAGAGCAGTGTATTAGGTAATGCGGAGATTAAGACATAGGGGGCCTCATAACTGATTCTAAATTAAATGTGTTAAAAGGACATAAGATTATTCTTTTTCTACAACCCAGATAGACAGAGAGATGTTCTGGGACAATGCATTCTATCTAGCTTTTGCATCCCTCATTAAACACTTGAATTGGGGACATAATTCCATGAGGCTGATTTTGACCAAAGGCTTGCAGGACAGTTGATTGAGTTTTCATTTGGGAAAATTGTTTTCTGAAATTAGATCTGTACCTCACTCTAATACACAAAATAAATTTAAGATGGAACAAAGATCCAAATTTATGAGTGAATATAAATACTACAGAATGAAAACTATAGAATATCTATATAATCTTAGTGTGGAAAAAGCTTTGTCAAGTATAACATAAAATTTAAAAGGCATAAAGGAAAAAAGTTATGGGGTCGACTGTGTAAAATGTCAGACTTCTGTGTTATCAAGACTGCAGTGAGGGCACGGTGGCTCGCACTTGGAATCCCCTCACTTGGGGAGCACAAGGTACATGGATTGCTTGAGTCCAGGAGTTCAACACCAGCCTGGGCAACGTAGTGAAAATCTATCACTACAAAAAAAAAAAAATACCAAAAATTAGCCAGGCGTGGTGGCATGCACCTGTAGTCCCAGCTACTCCAGGGACTGAGGTGGGAGGATCCCTTGAGCCTGGGACGTGGAGGTTGCAGGTTGCAGTGGGTGGGTGGAGATCTTTCTACTTCACCTCAGACTCCTGCACTCCAGTGTGGGTGACAGAGTGAGACTTTGTTTCAAAAAGAAAAAAAGAAATAAAGAAAGAAAAGAAAAGAAAAAGAAAGAGTGCTCTAACTAGTTTTAAAGGGCAAAACGCCACATTTGAGTGTGGTGAGATATTTCCAAAATAAATAAGAATTCAAAGGCTAATATGACCAGTACATAAAGAATTCCCATTTGTCATTGAGAAAAAAAACCCTAAATTTTTAACTAAGCTAAAAAAAGGAATGAAGAACTTATAAATACAAAATATTTGAAAACTCAACTTCAGAAGGGATCAGTGAAATTCAAAGTCAAATAATAGTATTTCATTTTTAGCCTGTCAGATTGAGGAAAAAATAAATTCCTTGGTAATGTTTGGTCCTGAAAAGATGTGGACAGGGATCAGAGGTACACACTGTTGGTGGGGATACACAATGATGTGAACTTTTAGGAAGATAATCTGAAAGTATATAAAAAACATATTTTATTTTAAAATTTCTTGGATAAACACTACAGAAACAAAAAGTTTTCAAATATTTCCATGCAATTGGCACCAAAATTTTCCCACGGTTTTTTATGTGCCTAGAAGTCTAGGTAGAATACTCAGTCTTTCGGCAGAATCCCAATCCCTGAGCTTAAGGGATCCAGAACATTTTTGTGGATAAAAGATTTCCAAATTAATCAGTTGCAAACTTCTATAAAGGCTACTCTCAAGCAGTTTCTGCATTCATCACCTGCCCACCATTCTCGGGGTTGTTTATTCTCTCATTAACTCTTCTGGAGTACATTCAATATCTCCTGCCAACCAGGTCCTGTGAGGTCAAGAGAGGGAAAAAATATATAGCTAAGCTCTAGCTTTTGCCATCAAGGAGTTGTCAGGCCAAGAAAGTCACTGCTGCATAATGGCACAAGAGTTCTCATATAACAGACACATGCTAATTTATCTTACACACCACAATTAAACTTTCTGACAGGCACATTTTTGAAAATTCTGAGTAAAGAAACCTATGTTCACTAAACTTAAATAGGTCCACGCTCCTCTTCGGAGAAAGCCCAGGCTTCTAAACCTGGCATCAAGGCTATGGGTAATCTAAATTTAACCTAGGTCTTTCTCTCTTATTATTCTATTTGTGTCCTCTGAGCCCTAGACAAGTAAATTAAATGTTTTTATTTCTTGCCTCTATGATTTTTCCATCTTTATTCTTCCTGCCATCATCTCTCCCCTAGATTGCTGAATAATCTCTTTACCCCTTTTCTTCATTCCAACTTTCTGACCACCTATGCCACCACCACCACCACCACCACCCCACACACATATATTCCACAATGCGACTACACCTGTCCTATCTAAAATGGTAGCCATATTAAACATACTTTAAAAAATTAAATTTACTTTCTTAGTTACACAAACCACATTTCAAGTGCGCGAGAGCTACATGTAGCTAGTGACTAGTGTATTGGACGGTACAGATTGTAGAGCAGTTCCTTCATCATGGAACATTCAATTGGACAGTGCTAAACCAAGCTTTTCTTTCTAGAGTACATATTTGTTCAGGTCATTCCCCTTGAGCACCTCAGTATGAAATTCGCACTGCTTAACGTGTGATTCTGGCCCAGTTTGCTTGATCCATCCTGAACCATCCCAGCTTTATAATCTCCCCACTTTTAGCTCAGCCATATGATTTATTTTCTGCTTTTCCAAGGGGAAAATTCTCATTATTTTGACCTTGTTTGCAATATGTTGCTCTCAACTTCTGAAATGTTCTCTACCCTCTGATCATGCCTATACATATAAATACCTCCAGACTCTTCAATAATTGCCCATTGATATCAGGTCACACTAAAATTCTTTAACTTGTTCTCTAGGGCTTCATATGTTGTTTTGTTTTGTTTTGTTTTTCCCTCACTATATTCCCGGACTCATATTAAATAGTGATTCTTCACTGATTGGGGTTCTTGTAGTTCTTTACATGCCTTCCTCACCCTGCTTCCTCTTCCCACAGGGTTCTTTCACCTGCTGCCTCCTCTGGCCTCAACTCTAATATCCCATCTTTCTTTACTCACTTAACTCCATTTATTTTTCAAACGTCAATTAATGTATCTCATCATGAAAGAAGCTCTTATTACATCAAATGTCCTCAGTAAGACATCATAGTAAGAGCTCAGTAAGATCACAATAAAAATATATGATGGTGAATACTGGATTATACTCTAGATTATAATTATTTTATGAGTTCCATAAGGGATGTAGCTCTAGCTATTTTGCTCACTATTTTATTCTGAGCATCTAGCACAGTGCCTGGGACATAGAGGGAATTCCACAATTATTTGTTACATAAATAAATGCTTTAGCTCTGTATGACATGAAGAAAATTCTAGATGAGCTATACACCAAAAGTCTTTAAGACCAAAGTGGAGATCAACATTGGCTTTTAAGATATTAAACTTTTACATTACAAATTACTGCTTCTGGAAAAATTTTTGCTGAACTTAGTGTCAATGGATATAAGGTCACAGTGAGCTGTTAGCAATCCTAAATGCTTGCCAAGAAAAAAAAAAGAGAGAAGGGAAATCAGCTTTATCAGAGTGGCTGCATTATGTTTAGTAAAGTATTATTTGGTGATTTGAGATTCTCAGCCAGATCCAATTAGTGAAAGAAGAGAACAAATGGGTTTGGCTGCTAAAACACAAGCACCACAGTGTGCCAAGTCTACTAGGTGTGTTTTTGTTTAAAAACTTTGCCGTTCTGATTTCATCTATTAAGTTCGTGAAGAACAAAATAGCAATTGAGGGAAATATAATTTTAAAAAGTGCATTCACATAATTTTTCTGGTTTAAATTTATCCTTTAAAGACTCCATCTGAATATCCACCGAGGGCAGGAGTGGAGAACTATACTGAAGAATGGGAACTGGTTTGAATCATTTTCCCTAGAAGGAGAGCAGTAATGTGTTCCCTGCAGGCTGCTGAGGAGGGATGGTCTTCGTCTCTTAGCTGAGATGGCTTTATTTTGGCCAGTGGTATTTCTCTAGAAAAAGTGGCAAGTAGTGAGCTGTCAGCAGCCAACCCCTAAGCATCTGAGAGATGGGTGTGTGAGTTCAAGAAAGGTGATAGGGTGGCAGGGGCATCAACAGTGTCCACTGCAAGGGCAAATATCAGATTAACTGGGTTCAAAATTCGAATCCTGTCACTAACTGATTGTGTGATTTCAGGCAACTTTTCTATGTCTCTGAGTCTCAACTTCTTTATCTGTAAAGTAAGAATAATAATAGAATCCACTTCACAGTGATATTGTGAACATAAAAAGAGTTAATATACATACCATTCTTGGTACAATTCCTGGCACATAGGATGGTACGTTAATGTCAGTTATGTCAAAGCAGAGTAATCTATGAAATATGATTAAACACTGTTCTGACCCATAATAAACATAGGAGAAACTTACTAAGTATTCAAAAAAGAGAGTTAGAAAGTGTCTTAGAATAAATCTATACCAACCAATTCTATCCTCTTAAAGATTAAGCAGTTGACGTTCATCAAAGAAGGATGCTTTATCCAAAGAGACAGAGCTACCTACTGGCAGGCCTAAGAATCCTGCCTTATAAACCCATACTCCTTCTGTAGAAAATAGCCTCTGTGTTCTAAATCAGTGGTTAGGACTATGATGATAAATCCAAAGAAAACAAACAAAAACAATGTGGAAAGCTGACTAATTGTTGAATGTCAAGAATGTGGTTAATATAGAAAGCTGGTTTGGATAACTGGGGCCCTCAATGACAAACAGAGCCTTCATTTACTCTTGAACATTATATAATGCACGTATTAGCTTTAGGAAGCTGAAAACTCATTTGTCTGGAATACCAGCCTGCCTCTGCCTCAACAAAAGCAGACATTTTCTCTTGGCGGATAGCTTTAGATGAAAGAAAGCTCAGTATTTGCAAAGCCTCCAAATGTAGTGGTTTTCTCTAGGTTCATGGAGCTAGGTCTTTGCTGATATCCCAGTTTTCTGCCTTCCTTTACTAGAAAATTCTCTTTATGCAAGAGGTTCCCTTTCTCACCCTCCAAAAAAGCTACCACAGATGCCTAGCCCAATGTGGAATTTTGTAATGCTATTCATTTGTCTGAGTCCATAGTCAAGTTCAAAAAAATGCAGCAAATATGTTCACCTTGGGATATACATAAATAAAACAACTCCAGCTCAGAAATCTAAAACTACAGCTACAAATGAATACATTTGCTACTTTGATCCATCGAAAGAGACAGCAATTTCCTGGTATAATTAACTGTAACTCCTGCAAACATCTAACTAGATATTAAAACATGTTTTACATAAACGCAGGGCAATTCACAGTAGCAGATCTAGTCCCAGGATTAAAGCACATGCAATCATGATAATAAGGTACAGAAATGCGAGTAAGTTGTTTAAATTCTCCCACTAAAGTAGGAATAAACAAACTTATTGCTAAGGCTATTGTGAGAAACACATTTGCTAATAGTAGGCAAAGTGTTTTGTCATCTTTCGAACACAGAGTATAGAAAAAGTGGTACATAGAGCTTTTTGAGGACAGTCGATTTGAAGAATAACTTCTGTGACATTGGTAGGTGATATTCCTGTTGAGTGATTTTTTTTTCCTTTGTTAAAAGGCTACCTTCAGGCTTCAGGAGTAATAGTAAAGTAGCCAATCTTATGCTTGTTTCTACTAATATTAATGCATCCATGAAAGCCAGTAATACACTATTACAGTCACCCACTGTTAGAGCCAGTAATACATTATTAGAGCTCACATATTTGCATTAGTAAAATTATGCTGTTTTGTTCAACTCAATTTCTGAGGAACAGACTAATTACATACCAACAGGTTTTGTCAGAAGGTAACAAAATATTCTTTTATATGTACTTAATGTTTGTATAGAGTATGGTTGTGACACTAACAGATCTAATTTACCTTTTGCAGAAGTCCCATTTCAGGAGAAATTTTAAAATGTGAATTCATATTCCATTCTTAGCTCTCATGGTTCAATGGAAATAGTTTCAGCACTTCAGAAGAGAGGTGCCAATAAGAAGCAGATATAATAGTCTAGTTGCATCTATTAACTTTGATGAGAAAATTAGCTTTAATAGAGAAAATGGGATCTACAGAGGTGTCAGTGAAGACCTGATAAATTCTGAGAAATGTTGCAGTCATTTACTTCTACTCAACCATATATAGTTAGGTAAGTGCTAGATATGCTCCTTTGAGTAAGAGATTATAATTGATTTGTCAGAGTTGTAATCCCAGAGCCACAGAGTTGGGGTTGATATGTTACATTTTGCCCTTCTGACATAGAAATGATGAGACTGCATTTCACAGAGAAAATGAGTAGAAATTCTATTTGTGATGTGTTGAAAGAACAAAGAATTCTCAACAGAAAAATGCCTGGTCCACAGGTCTGTCCTGAAAAACAGATGCCTTATCCACGGGGAACAACTTTTTCCATCTACTCTGGAGATAGAATCTTGTTCTCCTTAAAAATTGCTTGGTATCCATCAATTTATAAAAACAGGACAGTATATTTAGTAAGAACCAAGTTCGTGTCCCAAATTGGTCAAAAACTAATTTGTGATATTAGGAGGTTATTTTAAGTAACCAATCTGAGACTCAGTTTCCTATTTTGTAAAATAGAGATGACAAAATTCTCCATAGCAACCTGACAGAGTTCTTGCAATACCTGTTGCAATAACTGGTTGTAATTAATCAATATTTGTTGTAATTACCACCATTTTTTATTTTCTCCTAGGTGCCGAAGGCTCTACTAGGAACTCTGAATGCCACCCAAAACCTAAGTTTTACTATTAGAATATTTCACTGACTAGTATACACATATTCAAATTTGTGGTAACTTCCTTATAGCTACTAATATTGGAGTAGGTGTCTCACCACATTTTGACCCTAAATCCAAGGCTTACCAATTATTTTTCAATAATTCTAACAAGTTAACAGCTGCAAAGTTTGGAAGGGCAGTACGAACACTGGGGGACATTTGAATCATGGCACGTGGATTCAGATTATATTCAGATGGATGCTATCTTGTGGATTGATAGTATGCATGTTAAAAGTCTTTATAAATATTTATTCTATATAAGTTTAGTCTTTATAAATAATTTGTAATCCTTAATAATTATAAATCTTGCAAATTTTTGTTCTTTCAGCTCATAGCTTATTTCATTCCTTGTTTAATATTCCTACCAAAGTTTGAGAACCACCAGAATTTAAAATATTACAAAAAAGAAAGAAGAGAATACAGTGGAGGAGAAAGAAGAAGAGTATAGTTGGGAATACTCTTAAAGTGATGTTTCTAAGTAATATTTTTCATTGAACATTGGTTTCATAATATGCTAAAAATAATGACTTCTTCAATCAGGAACATTTGATTTTTGTGAAACAGCGTGCGATACCACTGGAGGTTCACCACGCACATTAGCACATATGTGCTTCTGCACTAGAAGATGTTTGCCTTTAACTTAGCATTTTCCAAAGATATATTATCACGAAACTAGGCTTTTAGGAAACATTTACTATAGTCTATAGTACACATATTCAGCTGGACTTGCTGTGGGGGACACTCCTCTTTAGGAGTCATAATGTCCTTTGTCTTCCCTCATTTTTTCCTGACCTGTGAACAGAAATATACACCCTTTTAGAAGTATTGGAAAGAAAAGATTCCACTGCTTCTCCTCTCACTTTACTCATTTTGGTTATCTATTTGGTGAAATTAAGACACTTCATCACTTAGGTGTTTTCTTATTGAATGGATCTCATAATTCCTTGCTCTTGTCCTTCATTTGATAAGCTCTCTTGAATCAAGGCATGGATTACTGTTTAGATGATGACCTCATGGTCTCTCTCCATGCCTTCTATGGGGACTCAGTGGGTGTCAGCCAGCTATTCCAAGCAAGTGTATGCTCTACCACATCCACATCTCTCTTGAGCTGGTAAATACCAAATATTAGCCTTGGAGGAGAAAAAGTAAGAATCCCAGCTGTAAATAAAAACGAATCCTACAAACCAAGGTTACCTGCAATCAAGATGATATTTGAATACTATCTCTTCAATTTACAATTCTATCTCACAAATGGGTCAAAATCAAGAGATAAAGAGAGAAATGTCATTAATAAATATAACGCCAAACCCAGAAACCTATTTTGGAGAAATAAGCGTATTAGTAGAAGCGCTTTATTTTTCTTGTCATTTTCACCCTTTTGATGAGCCTGGGTAACTTTGCATTTGAAGCCGGACCTGATTAATCTAACCCAGGCACTGACATTTTCTTAAAGAAAAGGCTCCACAGAGGTAGAGAAACCTAATGTTATCAGAATACCAAGCCTTCTAAAATGGCTTTGAAAGCAGCTAGAAAAAAAATAATTGTTCAAATTCAGGCAACTGCAGGCAGTGGTTGCAAAAGGTCAAATCACAAAATGTTCCCCAAGATGTCAAATCACTCCTGGGAATATTCTGCAAAATTATAGGTTTAAAAACTTGACCTTACTTGCTCTTTATTCTCAAGCACTCGATTTTCAACTATCACACCCCTGCCCCCATGGAATTCTTTCACCCAGGAAGTTTTTCATTTTGTGAAATTCAAGGATATTTTTAAGATATCTGTTAAAAATCATTGCCAATATATATTTTAAAACCTCTGTACACTTTACCATACTATATAGAGTTGGTTCGAAAAAGCTCAACTTCTCTGAAAAAGGAAACTTTCTGTGTTGGTGGGCAAAGTACTAGATTCAAAGTCAGCAGACCTAGCTTCCAATTCCTGCCTATATGTGACTTTGTGTGATCTTGGGTGAATCCGATCTCTTCTCTAATTCTCTTTCTCTTCCCTATAAATTATAACAAATTCAATTAAATAATAGATCTCTGAAAACCCTATGTAAACATTAAATATAATTTTAATATTTAAAAATTCATAGTGTTGTTATTTAAATTGACATATGTAATATATGTATCAAATTTTAACAGTGGAAGCTCTAAAATTTATTTTTGAAATTTAAGGAATACAACATTTGATGAAAAATTTAGAAAAAACCTGTTATTTCTTAGTTTGACCTTTATTTGCTTTATAATGTTGAGCAAGAAATGTTACTTTACTTGTCCGGTCTGTTTTTTTCGCAGATGAAAATGGAAAAAATTATCATCTGTATCTCATAGATTTGTTGAATGGATTAAATAAATGATTCCTATGGTGTTTTAGCACAAGGACTCAGACCGGGTGCTTAACAAATGTTATTGAATGTTACTATCATTTTTTTTTTCACTTTTTAAATGTTTTCACGTAACTCATAGGGTCTTATAATCTTGAGAATCTAGTTGTGTATTACAGTTCTTTGTTTGGGTTTGCATTTTAATCTTTTTCACGTTAAGAAAGATACCCTTAGTGATGTTTTAAGACTTGTGTTCTGAACAAGGAGAAAAACAAACTCTCCCTTTTCTTGTTTGCCATGTATCAACTTTTGTGGAAAATCTGTAACCTTACCCAATGTCAAATTCACCAAGATTTCATGTAGCTTATCTTCTGTAGAAAGGCAAAGAAAATTCTGGTGACATAAACATTGATCACAAACTTTCTTGCTTTCCTATGCCAGTTTGGCTATTGTTCTTATTAAGAAAATACACCAATCAACAACTAATAAAATTCGAAAAGGCTTCCTGTGTTTTCAGTTCTAAAATTATTTCTCTAAAATACTATCACTTTAAAGTAAATAAAAGATATGCCAACTGGAAAAAAGAAAGTATATAATAGACTATTTGCAGTTAGAAAGAATATCAAGGATCACCTAATCCAGCTGTAACTGCGACTCAGAGAGTTGAAATTATATACCCAGGGTCACATAATTAGTACCAGATCTAGATGTAGAATTTTAGTTGCTTGATTCTTAATTTAAAAATTTCTCACAATGGCATTCCATTAAAAGACATGCACAGAGATTTTGGTCCATGATACTGAAATAATAACAGGATAACCATGACCACAGAATTATGCACATTTAGATACCAACTTCTTCAATTCTTCCATCCTAGAAATGATGAAACTGAAGCCCCTTGCTTTTCATCCTGCCTCCTCAAAAAGTCGAAGTACAGTATCAGAGCTTCACTGTCATAGATAACCATATGATAGAAGAGGGAGAGGAGAGGAGAGGAAGGAGCTCAGCATGGAGGAATATTTATTATCTGCCTGCTGAAAGCTGAGTTTGGAGCAACAGCATTTTGCAAATGCTCATGTTTCCCTCCTACATGTCAGGAGAAGGGAAGCCAGGGGCATTTCCAGCATTGTTCCTTGAAGAGCTGTGGCATGCTGTTATGTAAAACAAACCCAGACAAGGGAAGGGATGCCAGCAAACAGTCTTACCACACTTAGTCAACTGTCCTCCAGGGAGAGACTGACAGTGTCTCTCTGCCTCCAGCAGTGAAAGAATGCCACTTGCTGAATGCGGGTTGAATGACCCAGATGAGAATCTGAGCTGAAATCAATACACCTCCTCACTGTATCTCAGCCAGAAAAGAGGACTGGGGAAAACTTAAGCAGAAGAGATGTTTGGCTTGGCGTGCAGCCACCTTCTGTGATCTCCAGGAAAGGGAGGGTATTCAGAAAATTGGGCCAGCAGGTAAAAGAAAAGAGGAGTTTCCCTTCTTCTGAATAATTTGAAATAAAAGCATGATAAATACTGAATTTATATATCACATGCTTTCCATTTCTCTGGGAAATGGTCTCTTGATACTCTCTGTCCCATGTGACCAAAGCCTTGCTTTCCACCTCCTGCATAACTTCACACAGGGCACCTGACAGACCATTTACCCTGAGCAGCACTCTGTGCTCTCACTACGTCCATGTGGTTTTCAGAACAAATCTGGATTCACACCCTGACTCTGGTTCTTACTAAGTGTATGACTTTAAGTTACTGAAATCCTTCGATCGTCAGTTTCCTCACGTCTATGCTCAAATCTTTTTGTGTTGCATTCCCTTCCTTTGATTGATCTGATAGAAAGCATAATATACTAGTTGTCTAATGATTACCTTTCTTGGGCATTTGCATTGTGGAGGGGATTCCTGAAGACAAAATACGGTGAATTCAGGAGACAACATATTTAATAATGGGGTTTTGGTATCATGGTGCATAGGAGGATAGGATCATATCCAGAGCCCTCAAATTCATTGTCATTCATTCATTCATTGACAAAACAGAATCTCTAATCTGCCCTAAATACCCTATCTCAGTGTTGCTCACATATGGAGATATGAGCTTCCAGTGATGGTTGAACTATGATACAAATATAGATACCCCAAATTTTATAATCTTACATAAATCTTAGATTTAGTCATATACTAGAGCATACCATATAGGTGATTAGATGAAGAAAACAAACTAGAACAACCCAATATAAACCTAGAATGATCTTAGTTTTTTTCTAGCATACTTTTAATTTTGGGGAAATGCCATTAGCCACAAATATCTAAAGTACAGGCACTAGTGAAAAGATGATTTTCATGAAAAAAACTACATTTATATTCAAAACACATAGGTTTTCCACTGTGCAGAGATTTGATAACTTTGCTTTAAAAATTCTTAACAAGAGTTATGAGCTTCCGGCAATCCTGCTATCTTAATCTCCATTACTTACGTGTCTGTACTTAAGACTTTTATTATCTTTCTTTTCATCCTTAAGAGTGCCACGGTTGAATTCTAATGATGGTAGGTTTGCAGAGGTAATGGTGCCTGGAAATTACCTCTGGAATTTTCTAATTGTAAATTTAAAAATGTTCAGGATGATTAATTACTATGGGAAATTAAATGAACTTATAACAACCAGAGTTTGTTGATCATCTGCTATAAGCCACTCCCAGTGGTAGGAAATGTAGATACAGGATAAATAAGAGAGTTCCAGATTGCAAAGTGCCTTGCATGTACAATGAGAGACTTCAAGGACATACAGGAGTTTTCAAGTGAAGAACGTTTCAGGGAGAGGAAACAAGTGAAAAGTCCCTCGGGCATGTGGCAGCCTGAGTTATTTGAAAAACTACAAACAGTTCATGTGGCTATAATGTTGACTGCCAGAATTAGGTGAAGGGGAAGGTGGAGAAAGATGGGCTCGGAGAATTGAGTGTGAAGTGTCATGTATGTCATGCTAAGGTATTTGGAATTACTCCTGGGGACGATGTGAAGCATTTCCTAGGCCATCTACCACCTTTGGTGTGCAGAGGGAAACCTCATGCTGGGATAACATCTGCCTTTCCCAAAGTTTTAACTCTATCTAAAGATGTCAAGTGGAGTCTCACACTTAATATAATTCCATCCCCCCACAATAGAGGTCAAAAGTGAGTTCACACACTACTCTAGGACAATGATTTCCATAGGCTTTTCCATTTATCAGGGACCCACTGGTGGGTGGAACACTGGATTGCACACTGTGATAAACATCCAATCCTCTAGAATGCCTTTCCTCATCTGTAGGGGTGAAGATGAAATCACAAGTACGACTTCTTCAGTCATACTCTCAATAGCTGCACCAACACTAGCTGACTTGAATCTACCATGTCTAATCTTAATATGAAATGTCATTACCCCCTCATTTCTTGAAGATTTTAACTACTGGCTCACTATCACATACTCCACATCTTTCGTATTAATTCTTGAGGTTTCAAAAATATGACCCACAAATCTCTGTCTTCTAAGTTTCTTAAATTTCTCTAGATGGATGGTGTATGAGGTTGACCTCCATACTATTTCATTCACCCTCTTCAATGGCATACTCAAGACATTACTATTTTTAAATTAATAACTGTAACCTTTCCATAATATCTATTTCATGAATCTTACTATGGAACAACATCTCTTATTTGTTTCCAGTTAAGCCCCTCTTATACTCTTATACTCTAGCATTCCAAATCTTTTTACTTTATGGAGACCTTTGTCTATTGATTCTATGACCTTATAACCTTCCCTCATCCCCTCAGTGGTCTCTCCTTCCTTACTCTGTGTAAGTTTTTTGGTTGGTCATTACAACCACTCCCTCAATTCTCCTGTCTTTTATTACGTTCATCTGACAAACCACCACTTTGATTAAACCAAAATTTTCTTCTGCTTGATGCCTACTCTCAACCAACCTGAACTTCTTGCTGTTCTTTGGACAACTGACGTGTCTTCTTGCCTTAATAACTTTTCAGCAATTAACAAGTAGTGTTTAAAAACTGGGAATCCTAACTATCAAAAATGGCACAAGACCTCAAACCTTATGCATCATGCCTTAAAGTGAAGCTGCTATCTACATTTGCGTTGAGACCTCAATGATTATATAATCCAAAATCTTGGTGGGAAATGACTTAGCCACTAGAATCCAGACACTCTTTGATTATATTTCATGATAAAATTTTAAAACGTATATTAAAATCAGACACTACAGAAAGGATAGATGAGCAAGCAACAGGGTAAAAATGAATATCCAGAAGATTAAAAAGAACACTCGCACCAAACAGAGTTTGCTCAATGATTCAACTGGAAATAAATATATATATAAATGTTGGAAATTAAGAGAAAAAAATAGGCAATAGATTTATCTAGTTGTTTCTCTACCAGAAAGTGAAAGTTTCTGTTTTCTCAGAATATAGCATATTTGTCCCAGGGTTTTATTTTTTCCGACATAATTATAAGAACTATTGAAGACAGTTGAGGTATGGTCAAAGAGACATCATCTAAGCTGAGAAACCTTTCATTCTATTCTGTTTTTGATATGCTTAGTTGCAAATACACACACACACACACACACACACACACACACACA